>NT_187420.1:175762-227673 GCF_000001405.40 Homo sapiens | reverse complement strand
TATTTTTTTTAAAGCACAATATATCTGCTTTATTTGAGTGGCTTTATATATGGTTATAATTGTGTTATAGATGAAGAAAAGGTATTAAACACGGTGCTAATGATAGTGAAAGTGAAAACAAAAGAAAGGCTATCTATTTTGTAGTTAGAATAAAGTTGCTCAGTATTTAGAGTTACCTAAATACGTCAGCATTTAAACCCCTCTTAGTAAAAGCTGGCCAATCTGAATAATCCTCCTTTAAACACAATTTTTGATATGGTTAAGGTTTTTAAGAATGCGACTCCTGCAGAATAGCTGAACAGACAATAGACTTTTAAAAAAGAACAACACACGGTTCAACCAGACTTGGGAAAAAAGCAAAAACAACACAAGTCTTAAGAAGAACTGAGTTCTTAAAGTATTACGGAGAACATAGCTATCAGAAGAGAAGGCAGTCTTGGTAAGTTGATTGTTACATTTGTCAGCAAAACTAGCACTATTTTTTTGGCAATCTTTCAGACACTGCAACTACTACTGCAAAATGAGATATAATCCATTAAACAATATAGTCACAAATCAAAAAATGTTTTAGTAATGTAATGCTTCAGATTTAGAAGCAAATCAAGTGTTAAAACTCAACTGCTATAATAATTACCCCCAAAGATAACCGTATCTGACAAAAAAGCTTCCACAGAGTTATGACTTCAGAATTATACTTTCTCTTGATATTTATTTATTAATTTATTTATTTTATTCTATTTTTTTCTTGAGATGGCGTTTTGCTCTGTCACCCAGGCTGGAGTAAAATGGCATAATCTTGGCTCACTGCAACCTCCACTTCCCAGGTTCAAGCGATTCTCCTGCCTCAGCCTCCTGAGTAGGTGGGACTACAGGTGCCTGCCACCATGCCCAGCTAATTTTTATATTTTAATAGAGACGGGGTTTCACCATGTTGGACAGGATGGTCTCAATCTCTTGACCTTGTGATCCGCCCGACTCAGCCTCCCAAAGTGCTAGGATGACAGGCATGAGCCACCTTGCCTGGCCTTCTCTTGACATTTAAACTTTTAAGTCAGTTCAGAAAAATACAATAAATGTCAACAGTAAGTATGGTGTTGAGGCAGATGTAGGACCAAACTTTTTCATATGTTATTCAGTTGATAACAATATGACCTGGATAGTAATTTCCTATGTGTCTACTTATACAGAAGTAAAAAAAGGAAAACAGAGATACTGCTAAATAAAAGGGTATACTAAGTTCTTAATAGTAACTCAATAACCTGGAACACTGTCAAAAAGCAACAACTAGTGAATTTTTTCAGTGTTTTTTTTTTCTATTATCCAATAAGTGAATTATGCTATTCCTTTCCAATTTCCCAAGCACTTTTTGTCCCAATCACCATTTCTCTGTTCGATGAAAAACTAACAAATCAAGTAACAAAACTAAACAAGCATACAAACAAACAAAACACAACTACAGTATCTGCAAAAGTTTGGTAGAAGACTGAAACTGTTGAGTATAAGGTTCTGGTATTCTATTATCATTAGTTAACTTAAGAGTTTGTTAAAGACACACATTTCATAAGAAAACATGTTAGTTTGAAGTTATTGACCAGTATGTACCATCCCTAAATATTAGTAACCAAATTCATGACAATAAAAGAGCTATCTAACAAGAAAAATTAGTGACTACCAGCACCATCAACAAGACTTTGTCTTTACACTTCATTACCACTTACCGTGCATTACAATGTCTAGGATTGACTCTGATAGCATTTCAAAAACAAGCTAATGCTTTGTCCAATTCTTCAGTTAAGACAAACTCTCGCCCTAATAGAGTATAGGCATAAGCATAATTTGGATCCACTTGGATAGTTCTCTGGAAGAATTTAATTGCAATATCGTGTTCCCATTGCAGACTGAAACAGTTCCCTGCAGCACACCAGGCCTCTGGCAGATTTTTATCCACGTCTGTTAAGTCTTTTGACAGAACTGAAAGAGCACCATCTTTTTGAAGATGCCAAAATGTTGTAGAGTAGATTTCCATGCCTTCAACTCTATAATTCTCAATCCTTCTAACCTCTGAGAATATTCTTTCAGCTTGCTTGTACTCTGAAAGTTCAAAATAGACCCTTCCAATTTTGCACAGTACCCAACCAGTATTATAGTGGTGAGAAGGTAGATGGCTCAAAATATTTATAGCTTCTTTGCAGTGGTATGAGCAGAAAGCTAAATAACTTTCCCCCTTTCACGAAGAAGACTCATCAAGCCTTCTGCTGCTGTTTTTTATGATTAAAAGCCTGAATCTGAGGTGTGATTGTGGATATTTTCTCTTCTGAAATGATGAAAGAGTCCAATTTTGTAATTTCCAGGCTATCATCTATGTTAGGTTGAGTTATTCCTCCTTTATTAGTTTTACTTTTTGTTTTTCTGTTTGGGATTTTAGGTGGAAACTTCTTTTTTAATTTCTTCCTATTCTCCTTTGTTGTGGAACTGTCACTAGTAAAGAGTCATGAATTTCTTCGAGGCAGTACATTTAGGGGATATGTCATAGTGGGGCTCAATACCTGAGGTGTTGTACTTATTTATGGACCAGAACTTTCTGTTTGTGCAAGAATTGGAGTTACCTCTCTTCTACTTCCACTCTGTGAGAAGACAGACTTTGCTCCAGTTTGGCCGATTCTGGCAACAGACTTTTTTGAAGGGGCTCTGGTGGATGGCACGTTAATTTCAGAAGGTGTATTAGTGTAGTTTTGTAAATAGGATCCATCTCCAGGACTTGGGGTTTCTAATGGCAAAATCCCAAAACTTGGGGTTAATGGACTAAGAGCTCCTGGTCCTCCTAATAAACTTCGACCAGTTTTTGGTTTATTTTGAACCTGTTTAGATAATATGGAAGTTCCTGTTCCCAGTGGGACAGTATCAGGTGAAATTACGCTGAATCAGTAGAAGACACTGAGTAATCTGTATTCAAGGAATACTTTGAATTTGAAGATTCTAAATTCAATCTGTCTAATTCAGTTGTTTCCGTAAGAAAGGTCTCAGGCTGTCTGTGACATAAACTATGACTAGGTACTTGTGTTGTGCAAGAGTTGGGCAGACAGTTGCTAAAGTTCTGAAAAGACGTGAATTTAAATGTTTGGTCAGGATCTGGCTTTTCACCTATTTCACATAATGATTCAAAGGGATACCAGAGGAAAGGCTTTAAACTAAGCCACTTTTGGTCACATTCTGATCCTTTGGCAAGCCGATCAGTCTTGCAATATACATGTCCCAACAATGGAAGGGGAAAGCAAGCTGAATCACCAAACTCAGTAACAATATCATCATGGCTTTTCTACTTATTAAACACTCCACCGGATAAGATTTGTTCCCCTTCTGCAAACTTGCTGAGATCAACACAACATTTTGCAAGCAGGTATTTGCATTGCGGTGTAGGACAACTGTGTCCTTTCAAGAGTCTATATGCTTTGTAGGCCTTTCCTGGGCGGTAAGAACAAGTCGCCAGTAAAACATGGCTTCTTCTGAGTGTACTTCTGCATAAAGGTGTTCTGCGAGGAAAACCCCATCTCAGTAAGCATAGTGGTTTAGTGCTTGCCATATAGCAGCCTGGACGGGTTCCTGCAGCACCGTCATCCTTGAGGCTCAGACCCACTTTCTGCAGTGTCTCAGGCACCCCCCCACCCTGCCCACCCCCCTCCCCCCCCCCGTAGGAGCTCCGGCCCAGCCAGCCTTGGCTCATTTAAACTCACCAGTTACCAGGGGATGGGGGAGGCCGAGCCAGAATGACTTCTTTACCCTGCAGACTTGGAAAGCCTGTCCCCTTGTTATCCATTGCAAAGCGAGAGTCACCTCATGTTTGGAAAACGGATTTGCTCCCAAGTTCTGTGGAGGAATGTGGCATGTAGGACGAAGGACTCTCTTCCTTCTGATTCAGTCTACACAGTGGGGCCTAGGGCTGGAGCTCTCTCCATGCGGACCACAGACTCCCTCTACCTTGGGTTCCATCGACCCCACCCTGGGACACAGGCCTTGGCAGATTCTGGCCCTTCCTGGCCCTTAAGTCGCGTCAGAAACCCCATCTCATGCTCGGATGCCCCGAATGACTGCGGCTCACGCCTCTCTGGAAACATTGGAAATCACCTGAAACCACAGGAGCTCGGGACACACGGCCGCCATCCACCTCACTGCTTTCGGGAGAGAATGCTGAGAGTCTTTTACCAACTCTCTCTTGACTTGAGTTCTTCATGGGTGTGTGGTTAACACGTAGTGAGACCAGATGTATTAACTCAGGCCGGGTGATGGTGGCTCACGCCTGTAACCCCAACACTTTGGGAGGCCGAGGCCGTAGGATCCCTTGAGGAATCGCCTAACCCTGGGGAGTTTGAGGCTGCAATGAGTGAGCCATAATGGTGTCAGTGCACTCCAGTCTGGGCGAAAGACAGAGTGAGGCCCTGTCACAGGCAGGCAGGCAGGCAGGCAGGCAGGCAGACAGACAACAGTTGTATTATGTTCTTCTCAGGGTAGGAAGTAAAAATAACAGAATACAGGGCTTAATTTTTTTTTTTGGACGGAGTTTCACTCTTGTTGCCCATGCTGGAGTGCAATGGCACCATCTCGGCTCGCCGCAACCTCCACCTCCCGTATTCAAGCGATTCTCCTGCCTCAGCCTCCTGAGTAGCTGGGATTACAGGCATGTGTCACCACACCCGGCTGATTTTGTATTGTTAGTAGAGATGGCATTTCTCTATGTGGGTCAGGTGGGTCTCGAACTGGCCACCTCAGGTGATCTGCCCACCTTGGCCTCCCAAAGTGCTGGGATGACAGGCGTGAGCAATTGCGCCCGGCCAGCTACGTTTTTTTTTAAATTTTCTATTTCCATCTATTTATTATTATTATTATTTTTTGAGACGGACTCTCGCTCTGTTGCCCAGACTGGAGTGCAGTGGCGTGATGGCTCACTGCAAGCTCTGCCTCCGGGGTTCACGCCATTCTCCTGTCTCAGCCTCCCAAATAGCTGGGACTATAGGCACCCATCAGTGTCTGGCTAATTTTTTGTATTTTGAGTAGAGATGGGGTTTCACTGTGGTAGCCAGGATGGTCTCGATCTTCTGACCCCCGTGATCTGCCCGCCTCGGCCTCCCAAAGTGCTGGGATTACTGGCGTGAGCCACCGCACCCGGCCTATTTATCTATTTATTAATTTTGAGTCCAGGTTATGAAACCAGTTAGTTTTTGTATTTTTTTAGAGACGAGGTTTCACCATGTTGCCAAAGCTTGGATCGAGGGATCCACCTTCCCTCACCTCCCAAAGTGCAGGGATGACAGGCGTGAGCGTACCACGCCCGGCTCTCCCCCTTCCCCCGCCATCTTATCATTCAGGTGCCGGAGGCCGAGCGGTGGTGTGTGGTTCCCACCCCCAGCTCCCCCTCCTCCATTCACCACAGCGATGTCCGAGAGTGGGTCCTGAGGGAGCTCATTGGTGTGGGGGTCGAGGGGGTTGAGTGAGATGCGCCCCTCCCACACAGGGAAGGGCGCCGCCTGGTCTGGCAAGTGCAGGTCCCGTGCTCCCCTCTGGCGTGTGCGCGTGGGCCGTGTGAGCGAGCGCGGTGGGCTCGGGCAGGTGACGCATGCGCCGGCCGGCCACCGAGGGGCTACCGTTCTGCCTCCAACAGGTTGTGTGTGGGTTTACTTGGAGGCGCTTTGCCTGGGAGAAAGGAGGCGGGTGGACGGGGGGGCACTTGGGGGATTGCACCCACGTACAGTGGCCAGGCCCCCCGCCCAGACCGCGAAGGCTCAAAGTTGCCGCACGCAGATTTTTCCTGGTACCGCCGGCCCCCTCACTTCCCCAGGCGTCCCTGACTGCCTCTGCGGGCCCGATGAGGGGCGATTGGCGGGTGGGGAGTGTGACCCACCCTCGGTGAGAAAGCCTTCTTTAGCGATCCGACAGGTGTGCCTTTGGAGTACCGGATTCCCCTGCCTGCCGCCTCTCTCTGCGTTATGGTAGCGCTGCCGTAGTCACTCGCTTGCAGGGGACCCTCCTCCACTTCCCCCTCGACGGGGTGACATGGGGAGAGCGAGGGTTCCCCTGGCCTCAGCGGTGGGGATGGAGGGCAGCTCGTCGCCTACTGTGTGGCCCGCGCCTCCCCCTTCCTAGTCGGGGGAGGATCCCGCCAGGCCGAGCCTGCGTCCTAGCGTTTGGGAGGCTTCGCGAGCAGTGGCTGTGCCCAGCGTTCTGTCCGGCTCGTGACCCGCTCCCCTGAGGAGCAGCGACCGGTGCCGACGACCGCGTTTGCATGGCAGGGCATTGGGCCTCCTGGCCATGGGAAGTGTCCCAAGTGGGGGGCACGCTGGTCTCCCAGAGCTTGAACGGGTGGGAGGATGGACGAGAAATGCGCAACGTGGCCCTGGCATTGGGTTTGTGGCTGCAGTCGCTTCTGGGTCCCGATGGCAGGACCCGGGCTCGTGAGGCGGGTCTCGGTGGGTGCCAAGGGCCGTCCGGCGTCCTAGGCGGGGCGCCACGGGACCTCCCTAGTGTCTGTGGCAGTGGGATCCCATGGCCGTGTTTTCCTGGTGGCCCGGACGTGCCTGAGGTTTCTGCCCGAGCCGCCCCTCTGCGGGCTCCCGGGTGCCCTTGCCCTCGGGGTCCCTGGCCTTGCCTGTCTGTGCCCCCCTCCCCACCCGCGGATCCTCTCTCCCCGAGCGGCTCGCTGGCTTAGGCTGTGGTGGCCCCGTCTGGGACCAAACCCTGCTCCGCCTTGTGTGGCACCACCGCCGGCCACTGGTTGGCCCGTTGTCCGTGTCCCTGGGCACGCGCCTTCGGGACCAGGTCGGCGGTGCCCCGCATGGGCCTGGTGGGCGCCCGGAGGGTTTGGGGTCGGCCTGCAGCGCGTGCAGGGAAGAGGATTCCGGGCGCTGGCTGCGATGGCGGCGGCGATGTGGGAGCCGCGGGCCCGCCGAAGGCCAGTCGGCCGCTCCAGGTGCCGCTCGGTGCCGCCTTGGTGCTTGGAGGCCGCTGGCGTTGAGACCCCGGGCACCGCGGTCCACCTCTCGTTTGCTGCCCAAACGTCGGGGCTGCCCCACACCTGCCATGCGCGAGTGGCCGCCTGTCCCTCGCGGCTGCCGCTCACGGGTCGGGCGGTCTGCCTCCTCGCACGTGGGCGCGAAGGGTCGGGAGTGGTGAGCCCATCGTGGGGTGATGTGTACTGTGGGTGTATGGGATTTCTGGTTCGCCGCTCCACCACCCCCCTCCCACCGCACTGAGCTGCTCCATCCCTCCCACACGCCTGGTCGCCCACCCTGCCACCCCATCCTCGTGACTGGGACTCCGGGCTCATCCTTGCGAGGCCCGGAGGCCGCTTTCTACTTATGTGGTTGATCCTACCAGTACCATATGCTTGTCTCAAAGATTAAGCCATACATGTCTAAGTACGCAGGGCTGGTACAGTGAAATTGCGAATGGCTCATTAAATCAGTTACGGTTCTTTTGGTCGCTTTCTCCTCTCCTACTTGCAAAACTGTGGTAATTATAGAGCTAATACATGCCGAAGGGCACTGATCCCCTTCGCGGGGAAGATGCGTGCATTTATCAGATCAAAACCAACCCGGTCAGCCCCTCTTCAGCCCAGGCCGGGGGAGGGGTTCGGGTGCCACTGGCTTTGGTGACTCTAGATAGCCTCGGGCTAATCGCATGCCCCCCGTGGCAGGGACGACCCATTCGAACGTCTGCCCTATCAACTTTCAATGGTAGTTGCTGTGCCTACCATGGTGACCATGGGAGATGGGGAATCAGAGTTCGATTCTGGAGAGGGAGCCTGAGAAATGGCTACCACATTCAAGGAAGGCAGCAGGCATGCAAATTACCTACTTCCGACCCGAAGAGGTAGTGACGAAAAATAACAATACAGGACTCTTTTGAGGTCCTGTAATTGGAATGAGTCCACTTTAAATCCTTTAATGAGGATCCATTGGAGGGCAAATCTAGTGCCAGCAGCCACGGTAATTCCAGCTCCAATAGCGTATATTAAAGTTGCTGCAGTTAAAAAGCTCGTAGTTGGATCTTGGGAATGGGCGGGCGGTCCGCTACGAGGCGAGCCACCGCCCATCCCCACCCCTTGCCTCTTGGCGCCCCCTTGATGCTCTTAGCTGAGTGTCCTGCAGCCCGAAGCGTTTACTTTGAAAAAATTAGAGTGTTCAAAGCAGGTCCGAGCCACCTGGATACCTCAGCTAGGAATAATGGAATAGGACCGCGGTTCTATTTTGTTGGTTTTCGGAACTGAGACCATGATTAAGAGGGAAAGGTGGGGGCATTCGTATTGCGCTGCTAGAGGTGAAATTCTTGGACCGGCGCAGTTCGGACCAGAGTGAAAGCATTTGCCAAGAATGTTTTCATTAATCAAGAACGAAAGTCAGAGGTTCGAAGACGATCAGATACAGTCGTAGTTCCGACCATAAACGATGCCAACTGGCGATGTGGCGGCGTTATTCCCATGACCCGCTGGGCAGCTTCCAAGAAACTAAAGTCTTTGGGTTTTTAGGTTCCGGGGGGAGTATGGTTGCAAAGCTGAAACTTAAAGGAATTGGTGGAAGGGACCAGCAGGAGTGGCGCCTATGGCTTAATTTGACTCAACATGGGAAAAATCACCCGGCCAGACATGGACAGGATTGACAGATTGATAGCTCTTTCTCTGTTCCATGGGTGGTGGTGCATGGCCTTAGTTGGTGGAGTGATTTGTCTGGTTAATTCCGATAACCAACGAGACTCTGGCATGCTAACTTATTACGCGACCTCTGAGCGGTCGGCGTCCCCCAACTTCTTAGAGGGACAAGTGGCGTTCAGCCACCGGAAATTGAGCAATAACAGGTCTGTGATGCCCTTAGATGTACGGGGCTGCACATGCGCTACACTGACTGGCTCAGCGTGTGCCTACCCTATGTGGCAGAGGCGGGTAACCTGTTGAACCCCATTCGTGATGGGGATGGGGGATTGCAATTATTCCCCATGAAGGAGGAATTTCCAGTAAGTGTGGGTCATAAGCTTACCTGAAGTCCCTGCCCTATGTACACACTGCCCGTCGCTACTACTGATAGGATGGTTTAGTGAGGCCCTCGGATGGGCCCCGCCAGGTCAGCCCACTACCCTGGCAGAGCGCTGAGAAGACAGGTGAACTTGACTATCTAGAGGAAGTAAAAGTCCTAACAAAGTTTCGGTAGGTGAACCTGCTGAGGGATCATTAACCGAGAAGAGCGAAGCCGCGGGGGTGAAGCCGCGGCAGTGCCGCCGCATCCTTCCTCCTTGGCAGACCATGTTCCTCGTGTGGCGCGTGTGTGGGCGGGGTCGTGCCCTTTGTTTGTTGCACGGCCCCGCCTGCCCTGAGAGCCGGAGAACTCGGGAGGGAGAAGGGGGAGAGAGAGACACGCGTGCAGGGACGAAACCATGTGTGCATATCATGGGGCGGGCTGGATGCCTTGCTGGCCTGGTGAGCAGCGGGGAGCGGCCCCCTGCCGTGGCCCCCACGTGTGTGTCGGCGGGTGAGGGAATGGTTCTCGGCGTCCTGGTGGGGTGGGGGTCTCGGTGTCCTCCCCGCCAGAGCTGTCGTCCCGCCCTGTCCCGCTGGCTCGGCCCCATCCCGCCGGCTCCCATTGGGGCCGGCCGGGTTCCCATCGCTGCTGTGGCTGCCACCATCCTCGCCTCTGCCACACCATGCCACTGGGCCCGGCCTGGCCTGCTCACTCTCCCCAGCCTTCCCGCTAGGGCGTCTCGAGGGTAGGGGGCTGGACACCTGTCCCCACCTCCTCGTTCGCCACCACCGTCCAGGTTCCTAGCGTGTTCTGGCGGGGAGGTTTATGGACCCCTTGGGGTGTCGCCCGTCTTCCCGTGGGTTGGGTGCGGTGGGTCTGCGGGGGAGTCTGTTCGGGAGGGGCCCGCCCCTCTCTCGCCTCCCCCACCGACTCTGTCCCCTCAGCCAGCCGGGGCCGCGCCGCACTTGCGTGTCACCGCTGACACCAGTGGGGGCTTTACCGGCGGCCGTCGTGCCATCGCACGTGTGCCGCGCATGTGGCCTGTGCCTTGCGCTGTGGGGGTGGGAATCCCTGGGTGCCCGTGGGGTGCTGTCAACGTTCGCCCCCTCATGGTCGGCACTGCCTCCCTGTGTTGTGAAACCTTCCGACCCCTCTCTGGAGTCTGGTCCCATTGCTGTCTGAATGGACAGCCTGAGGTAAACCCTCTGGGGCACCTGTTGTGCCAGTAGGGCCTCCGGGTGTTGGGAGCACCCTTGCCAAATCCACCTTGTATGACTTTTAGCGGTGGATCACTGGCCTTCTGCGTTGATGAAGAACACAGCTAGCTGTGAGAACTAATGTGAATTGCAGGATACATTGATCATCGACACTTCGAACGCACTTGCGGCCCGGATTCCTCCCAGGGCTATGCCTGTCTAAGCGTCGCTTGTGGATCAATAGTCCCCGGGGGTGCCTCCGGGCTCCTTGAGGTTCACGGCTGGGAGTTCCCTTGCATGGCCTGCCGGGGCCCTCTGTCCCCCCAAGTGCAGACCAGTGACGTCCGCCCTCCTCTACCACCATGCCCGCCCCTTCTCCCTCCCCCCACAGGCCCTGTGTGGTCACGCATTGAATGGCATGGGGAAGGGGGGCTCCCAGCTGTGAGGAAGAGAGAGAGGGCGGCGTTGCCACCCGCAAAAACAGGAGGGAAGAGAGCCGGCTGGGGCCGAGTTCCCGTGGCCACCACCGCAGTCCGGGTTCCTCCCTCGGTGGCTCCCTCGCGCCTCAGGCAGCTCATGGTGCAGGGTTCGTTGGCCCTGGTGGGGTGGAAGGTCCCGTGCCGTCGTCGTCGCGCGTCGTGGGTAGTGTGGGTTTGTTGTGGGGGGAGGAAGGCAAGTAGGAAGGGTCCGCCGGAGAGAGGGTGGGGGAGCATGTCCCGGTCACCGCGGTTCGCCGCCGCCCCTGGTGGTTGCCCAGCAACCAGCCCACCGCTACTGCAGCGCCCCTCCTCCCCAACACCCCTCCAAGGCACAGTCCTCCTCGCCCGCCCGCCCCCCGCCTGCCCAGCACGCATCGCTGTTGTGTCCGGGGCCGGAAGCCCGCCACGCGGCCCGTCTGGCAGCACTCGTGGCCGCGGTCCTGGGGTTTGCGTGCCCTTGGCGGTGACTCGCTGGATGCTGTGGTGTCGTCCACCATCGTGAGCCCGCCTCCGGCTCTCAGCCGCCCAGTGCCTGGGGCCCGGTCTGTAGCTTCCACGTCGGGCCAGGGTGGCGCTGCTGCATCCTTGGACCAGTCCCCCACCTCCATTTAGCACGTAGGCAATCCCATGTAACTTAGCAAAGCTAGCAAGTCCCTAAACTCGGTGCAGCCACTGTAGGGGTGGCCTCCCAGTAGCATCGTTAACACCAATTGTAATTGGTAGGCAATCACTTAGTTTCACATTTCATTACCCGAGTTATACAAATGTGTAAAAAAAAATACAGTTTTAATAAAGGGAGTAAAGGATAGTATGAGTAATATTCACAATCTCTAGTTGGAAGAGGTAGTGTTTTCTCAGAAATGATGCATTCCTGGAGCAAGGTCATTTTATGTTTGGTTTGTTAAATATCTATTTCCATTTTGACAAACCACTGGAAAAGCCCAGCTTCACAAGGACTCTCCATGAGAATGATCAAACAAAAGAACACCCATAACACAAAATCAAAACAAGGGTGGTCCAGGCGTCACATTAAAGACTCATTACCAAGTTTTCTTAGAAGAGATAAAGAACACAAAGTTACTTTTATGTGATGGAAAACAGAGAGAAAGAGTAAATGGAACAATAAATGTTGGGCAACAACAGTGAAAACCAAGCTGTGGAAAAAAATGAATGGAAATTTTTTGTTTGGTATTGATTTCCTATCCTGATATCAGAAAGTATGGGAAAGAACAAAGCACATTTTTCTGAGACAAATAGAACATAAAACAAATGAATGTTAAAGACTATTTTACAGTGCTAACAAAACTATTTGTGACTTGTTTTTTTCCATTTAAAAATACGATTTTGTACAATTACATTTATATAAATTATTGAAATATAATTGTAAAGATGGAGAACAGGCTATGGGGTTGCCAAGGGGAAGAGGTGGAGGAAAACGTGTCAGAGTGTCAGCAAAGATCGCAAGTTGGAGCCGGGTGGTGATGCTACAGTTCTGTATCTTGACTGTGGAAGTGGTAGTTACAGAGATCTACACCACATAAAAATGCACAGAACACACGCACACGCATACACACATACAAAAATGAATGCATACAAAACGGTTGCTATCTGAGTAAGCTTTCTGAATTGTACCTATGTCAGTTTCCAGGTTTTGATAATGCTCTATAGCTATGTAAGATGTCACCACTGGAATTAGTGAAGAGTACTTAAGACATCCCTGTACCTTTTGCAACTTCCTGTGAATCTATAATTATTTCAAAAGAAACTTGAAAGTCATAGCAGACTTTCACTTCAAAGAGGAAAAAAACTGAAGATTAATGAAATTGTTGAAGAACATCAAATACTCAATAGTCTGTATGAGAGCTGTATTCTGTCCACTCACAGCACAGCTGTCATTTAGCCTTTTCCTGATGTGCCCTGGAGGACTTGAGCTCCTCTTGCATTGCCAAGGCCAATATTGTTTATTTGTTACTAACTTTGTACTGAACCCCCCAAAAATGAAAAGTGATTGAATAATCATTTATAATAGCAACTAGTAATTTTACTTATAAAGAGACAATAGTGGTAACGAATTTAAATATTTATGGTAAAGAATAGATCTTTGTTAGACAGTACTGGCAAAATTTAGAAAGAAAAAATAAGGAATCAGAAACATAAGTAGTTCAGTATTGTGAAAAAATTCTGGATCTGAGAAGCAAAAGAACAGAGATTATATTGCGTTTCTACTCCAAACCTGAAGAGTCACCTTAAGTGTGTTGTGTTTCTGTGCCAAAGCTGCTGAATCACCTTAGCAATGCATGCCCTTTCCCTGAACCTGTTTTCTTTTCTACAAATTAAAGTGAGCTAGATCATCTCTGAGGTCTCCCATATATTCACATTTTTGGCTCTACATGAACTTCAGTTGAATTCCTAATTTCAGTGTGGATAATACATGTGTGCTGCACCACAAGCAGTGTGTCTAAATGCTCATGTTGGTCCTAAAAACTAATTATGAGCAGTTTGGAAATTCCGTTGTTGTAGAATCTGCAAAGGGATATTTGTGAGTGCTTTGAGGCCATGGTGAAAAAGGAAATACCTTCACATAAAAACTATAAAGAAGGTTTCTGAGAAACTGCTCTGTGATGTGTGCATTCATCTCACCGAGTTAAACGTTTCATTCCTTTGATCAGTCTGGAAACTCAGTTCTTGTACAATCTGCAAAATGGTATTTGTGAGTGCTTTGAGGCCTATGGTGGAAAAGGAAATATCTTCACATAAAAACTAGACAGACGCTTTCTGAGAAACTACTTTGTGGCGTGTGCATTCATCTCACAGAGTTAAACCATTCTTTTGATTGAAATGCTTGGAAATGGTGTTTTTGTAGAATCTGCAGAGGGATATTTGTGAGAGCTTTGAGGCCTATGGTGAAAAAGGAAATATCTTCACATAAAAACTAGAAAGAAGGTTTATGAGAATCTGCTTTGTGATGTGTGCATTCATCTCACAGAGGTAAATGTTTCTTTTCATTGAGCAAATGAGAAACTCTTTTCTTGTAGAATCTGCAAAGGGATATTTGTGAGCACTTTGAGGCCTATGGTGAAAAAGGAAATATCATCACATAAAAACTTGACAGAAGTTTCTGAGAAACTTCCTGGTTATGTATGCATTCATCTCACAGAGTTGAACTATTCTTTTGATTGAGCAGTTTGGAAACAGTATTTTTGTAGAATTGACAAAGGGATATTTGTGAGTGCTTGGAGGCCAATGGTGAAAAAGGAAATATCTTCACATAAAAACTAGACAGAAGCTTTCTGAGAAACTTTTTTTGTTAGTGTGCACTCATCTCACAGAGTTGAACCATTCTTTTGATAGAGCAGTTTGGTAACAATCTTTTTGTAAAATCTGCAAAAGGATATTTCTGAGCACTTTGAAGCCTATGGTGAAAAAGGAAATATCTTCACATAAAAACTAGAAAGAAGGTTTCTGAGAAACTGCTTTGTGATGTGTGAATTCATCTCACAGAGTTAAACCTTTCTATTGATAGAGCATATTGGAAACAGTCTTTTTGTAGAATCTGCAAAGGGATATTTGTGAATGTTTTGAGGCCTGTGGTGAAAAAGGAAATATCTTCACTTGGGACAGAAGCTTTCTGAGACACTTCTGTGTGATGTGTGCACTCATCTCACACTGTTGAAACATTCTTTTGATTGAGCAGTCTGGAAACAGTCTTTTTGTAGGATCAGCAAAGGAATATTTGTGAGCACTTTGAGGCCTATGGGGAAAAAGGAAATAACTTCACATGAAAACTAGACAGAAGGTTTCTGAGAAACTGCTTTGTAATGTGTGCATTCATCTCACAGAGGTAAAGGTTTCTTTTCATTGAGCAGATGGGAAACTCTTTCCTTGTAGAGTCTGCAAAGGGATATTTGTGAGTGCTTTGAGGCCTATGGTGAAAAAGGAAATATTTTCATATAAAATGTAGACAGAAGCTTTCTGAGAGATTTATTTGTGACGTGTGCATTCATCTCATAGAGTTGAACCATTCTTCTTTTTTTTTTTTTTTGGAGCTCTGGGTTTATTTATTTATTTATTTACTTTTATTATTATTATACTTTAAGTTTTAGGGTACATATGTACAATGTGCAGGTTTGTTACATATGTATACATGTGTCATGTTTGTGTGCTGCACCCATGAACTCATCATTTAGCATTAGGTATATCTCCTAATGCTATCCCTCCCCCTCCCCCCACCCGAATACAGTCCCTGATGTGTGGTGTGTGGTGTTTTGCTTCCTGTGTTCATGTGTTCTCATTGATCAATTCCCAACTATGAGTGAGAACATGTGGTGTTTGATTTTTTGTCCTTCCAATAGTTCGCTGAGAGTGATGGTTTCCAGCTTCATCCATGTCCCTACAAAGGAAATGAACTCATTATTTTTATGGCTGCATAGTATTCCATGGTGTATATGTGCCACATTTTCTTCATACAGTCTATCGTTGTTGGACATTTAGGTCAGTTCCAAGTCTTTGCTGTTGTGAATAGTGCCGCTATAAACATACGTGTGCATGTGTCTTTAAAGCAGCATGATTTATAATCCTTTGGGTATATACCCAGTAATGGGATGGCTGAGTCAAGTGATATTTCTAGTTCTAGATCCCTGAGGAATCACCACACTGACTTCCACAATTGTTGAACTAGTTTACAGTCCACCAACAGTGCAAAATGTTCCTATTTCTCACATCCTCTCCAGCACCTGTTGTTTCCTAACTTTTTAATTATCACCATACTAACTGGTGTGAGATGATATCTCATTGTGGTTTTGGTTTGCATTTCTCTGATAGCCAATGATGATGAGCATTTTTTCATTTGTTCATTAGCTGCATAAATGTCTTCTTTTGATCAGGGTCTGTTCATAACCTTCAACAACTTTTTGATGGGGTTGTTTGACTTTTTTCCTGTAAATTTGTCTGAGTTCATTGTAGATTCTGGATATTAACCCTTTGTCAGATGAGTAGGTTGCAAAAACTTTCTCCCATTCTGTAGGATGCCTGTTCACTCTGATGGTGGTTTCTTTTGCTGTGCAGAAGCTCCTTAGTTTAATTAGATCCCATTTGTCAATTGTGGCTTTGTTGCCATTGCTTTAGGTGTTTTAGACATGAAGTCCTTGCCCATGCCTATGTCCTGAATGGTATTGCCTAGGTTTTCTTCTAGGGATTTTATGTGAAGCATTCTTTTGATTAATCAGTTTGGATACTCTGTTCTTGTAGAATCTGCAAGGAGATATTGGTGAGCGCTTTGAGGCCTTTGGGGAAAAATGAAATACCTTCACATAATAAATAGACAGAAGTTCTCTGAGAAACCTCCTTGTCATGGGTGCATTCATCTCACAGAGTTGAAACAGTCTTTTTGCTGAGCAGTTTGAAAACTGTCTATTTGTAGATTCTGCAAAGGGATATTTATTAGCGCTTTGAGGCCTATGGTGAGAAAGGAAATATCTTCACATAAAAACTAGACAGAAAATTTCTGAGAAACCTCTTTGTGATGTGTGCATTTATCTCACAGAGTTGAACCATTCTTTTGATTGAGCAGTTTGTAAACAGACTTTTTGTAGAATCCGCAAAGGGATATTTGTCAGCTCTATGAGGCCTATGGTGAAAAAGGAAATATCTTCAATAAAAACTATAAAGAATTTTTCTGAGAAGCTGTTCTGTAAGATGTGCACTCATCTCAGAGAGATAAAAGTTTCTATTCTTTGATGAGTCTGGAAACTCTGTTCTTGTAAAATCTGCAAAGGGATATTTGTGAGTGGCTTTAGGCCTATGGTGAAAAAGGAAATATCTTCACATAAAAACTAGACAGAAGACTTCAGAGAAACTTCTTTGTGATATGTGCATTCATCTCACAGAGTTGAATCATTCTTTTGATTGAGAAGTTTGGAAACAGTCTTTTCAGAGAATCTGCAAAGGGATATTTTGAGTGCTTTGATAGGTATGGTGAAAAGGGAAATATCTTCAAATAAAAAGTGGACAGAAGCTTTCTGAGAAACTTCTTTGTGATGTGTGCATTCATCTCACAGAGTTGAAACTTTCTTTTGATTAAGCAGTTTGGAAAGAGTCCTTTTCTAGAATCTGCAGAGGGATATTTGTGAGCCCTTTATGGCCTAAGGTGAAATAGGAAATATCTTCACATAAAAACTAGACAGAAGCATTCCGAGAAACTTCTTTGTGAAGTGTGCTTTCCTATCACAGAGTTATACCTCTCTTTTGATTGAGGAGTTTGGAAGCAGTCTTTTTGTAGAACATGCAAATGGATATTTGGAGTGCTTTGGGGGCTAGACAGAAACATTCTGAGAAACTTCTTTGCGATGTATGCATTCATATCACAGAGTTGAACCTTTCTTCTGATTGAGGAGTTTCAAAAGAGTCCTTTTGTAGAATCTGCAAAGGGATATTTGTGAGCCCATTGAGGCCTATGGTGAATTAGGAAATAGCTTCACATAAAAACTAGTCAGAAGATTTCTGAGAAACTTCTTTGTGATGTGTACTTTCATCTCACAGAGTTGAACCTTTCTTTTGATTGAGCAGTTTGGAAACACACTTTTTGTAGAATCTGCAAATGGATATTTAGAGCGCTTTGAGGACTATGGTGAAAAAGGAAGTATCTTCACATAAAAACTAGAAAGCAACATTCTATGAAACTTCTTTGTGATGTGTGCTTTCACCTCACAGAGTTGAACCTTTCTATTCATTGAGCAGTTTGGAAACCATCTTTTTGTAGAATCTGCAAATGGATATTTGGAGAGTTTTGAGGCCTTGGTGAGAATGGAAATATCTTCACATAAAAACTAGATAGAAGCATTCTGAGAAACTTCTTGGTGACGTGTGCATTCATCACACAGAGTTGAACCTTTCTTTTGATTGAGCACTTTGGAAACAGTCTTTTTGTAGTATCTGTAGAGGGATATTTGCGAGCGGTTTGAGGCCTATGGTGAAAAAGGAAATATCTTCACATAAAAACTAGAGAGAAGCTTTCTGAGAAACTTCTTTGTGATGTGTGAATTCATCTCACAGTGTTGAACCCTTCTTTGGATTGAGCAGTTTGGAAACCATCCTTTTGTAGAATCTGCAAAGGTATATTTCTGAGCCCATTGAGGCCTATGGTGAAATATGAAATATCTTCCCATAAAAACTAGACAGAAGGTTTCTAAGAAACATCTTTGTGATGTGTGCTTCCATCTCACAGAGTTGAACCTTTCTTTTGATTGGGAAGTTTGGAAACACTCTTTTTGTAGAATCTGCAAATGGATATTTGGAGCACTTTGAGGCCTATGGTAAAAAAGGAAATATCATCACATAAGTATTAGATGGAAGCATTCTGAGAAACTTCTTTGTGATGTTTGCATCCATCTCACACAGTTGAACATTTGTTTGATTGAAGATTTGGACACAGTCTTTTTGAAAAAACTACAAAGGGATAATTGTGAACCCTTTGAGACCTATGGTGAAGTAGGAAATATCTTCATATAAAAACTACACAGAAACATTCTGGGAAACTTTTTTTGTGATGGGTGCATTCATCTCACAGAGTTGAAGCTTTCTTTTGCTAGCGCAGTTTGGAAACAGTCTTATTGTAGAATCCCCAAAGGGATATTTCTGAGCCCATTGAAGCCTTTGGTGATATAGGAAATACCTTCACATGAAAGCTAGACAGAAGATTTCTGAGAAACTTCTTTTCAATGAGTGCTTTCAGCTCAAAGAGTTGAGCATTTCTTTTGACTGAGCAGTTTGGAAACACTCTTTTTGCAGAATCTGCAAATGGATAATTGGAGTGTTTTGAGGCCTATGGTGAAAAAGGAAATATCTTCACATAACAACCAAACAGAAGTTTTCTGAGAAACTACTTTGTTATGCATGCATTCATCTCACAGAGTTGAAACTTTCTTTTGATTCAGCCGTTTGTAAACAGTCTTTTTGTATAATCTGCAAATGGATATTTGGAGCGCTTTGAGGCCTATAGTGAAAAAGGAAATATCTTCACAAAAAAAGTAGAAAGAAACACTCTGAGAAACTTCTTTGTGATATGTGCTTTCATCTCACAGAGTCGAACCTTTCTTTTCATTGAGCAGTTTGGAAACAGACTTTTTATAGAATCTGGAAATGCATATTTGGAGCGCTTTGGGGCCTATGGTGAAAAAGGAAATATCTTCAGATAAACACTAAACAGAAGATTTCTGAGAAACTTCTTTGTGATGCGTGCATTCATCTCACAGAGTTGAAACTTTCTTTTGATTGAGCCGTTTGTAAACAGTCTTTTTGTATAATCTGCAAATGGATATTTGGAGCGCTTTGAGGCCTATAGTGAAAAAGGAAATATCTTCACAAAAAAAGTAGAAAGAAACACTCTGAGAAACTTCTTTGTGATATGTGCTTTCATCTCACAGAGTCGAACCTTTCTTTTCATTGAGCAGTTTGGAAACAGACTTTTTATAGAATCTGGAAATGCATATTTGGAGCGCTTTGGGGCCTATGGTGAAAAAGGAAATATCTTCAGATAAACACTAAACAGAAGATTTCTGAGAAACTTCTTTGTGATGCGTGCATTCACATCACAGAGCTGAAACTTTCTTTTGATTTAGCAGTTTGTAAACAGTCTTTTGGTAAAATCTGCAAATGGATACTTTGAGTGCTTTGAGGCCTATGGTGAAAAAGGAAATTTCTTCACAAAAAAACTAGAAAGATACATTCTGAGAAATTTCTTTGTGATGTGTGCTTTCAACTCACAGAGTTGAAACTTTCTTTTCACTGAGCAATTTGGAAACAGTCTTTTTGTGGAATCTGCAAAAAATATTTTTAAGCCCTTTAAGGCCCATGGTGTAACAGGAAATATCCTCACAAAAAAACTAGACAGAAGCTTTCTGAGAAACTTCTTTGTGATGTGTGCTTTCAACTCACGGAGTTATACCTTTCTTTTGATTGAGCAGTTTGGAAACAGTCTTTTTGTGGAATCAGCAAATGGATGTTTGGAGCGCTTTGAGACCTATGGTGAAAAAGGAAATACCTTCACATAAAAAATAGACGGAAGCATTGTGAGAAACATCTCTGTGATGTGTGCATTCATCTCATAGAGTTGAACCTTTCTTTGATTGAGCAGCTTGGAAACAGTCTTTTTGTGGAATCAGCAAATGGATGTTTGGAGTGCTTTGAAGCCCATGGTGAAAAAGGAAATACCTTCACATAAAAAAATAGACAGAAGCATTGTGAGAAACATCTCTGCAGTGTGTGCATTCATCTCATAGTGTTCAACCTTTGTTTGATTGAGCAGTTTGGAAAGAGTCCTTTTGTAGACTCTGCAAAGGGATATTTCTGAGCCCATTGAAGCCTAGGGTGGAAAAGAAATGTCTTCACATAAAAACTAGACAGAAGCATTCTGATAAACTTTTTTGTGATGTGTCCATTCATCTTACAGAGTTAAAACTTTCTTTGGATTGAGCAGTTTGGAAACAGTCTTTTTGTAGAATCTGCAAAAAATTTTTTTGAGCCCTATATGACTGAAGGTGAAATAGGAAATATCTTCACAAAAAAAACTAGACAGAAGCATTCTGAGAAACTTCTTTGTGACGTGTGCTTCCGTGTCACAGAGTTGAACCTTTCTTTTGATTGAGCAGTTTGGAAACACTCTTTTTGTAGAATCTGCAAATGGGTATTTGGAGTGCTTTGAGGCCTATGGTCAAAAAAGAAATACCTTCACATAAAAACTAGACAGATGCATTCTGTGAAACTTCTTTGTGATGTGTGCATTCATCTCACAGAGTTGAATCTTTCTTTGGATTCAGCAGTTTTCTAAACAGTCCTTTTGTAGAATCTGCAAAGGGATATTTCTGAGCCCATTGAAGGCTATGGTGAAAAAGGAAATATCTTCAAATAAAAACAAAACAGAAGCTTTCTGAGAAGCTTCCTGTGATGTGTGCATTCATCTCATAGAGTTTAATCTTTCTTTTGATTGAGCAGTTTAGAAACAGTCTTTTTGTAAAATGAGCAAAAGGATATTTCTGAGCCATTTGAGGCCGATGGTGAAAAAGAAATATCTTCACATCAAAACTAGACAGAAGCATTCTGAGAAACTTGTTTCTGATGTGTGCATTCATCTCACAGGGTTGAACCTTTCTTTTTTTTGAGCAGTTTGGAGTCTTTTTTTTTTTGAATATGCAAATGGATATTTGTGAGCGCTTTACAGCCTATGGTGAAATAGGAAATATCTTCACATAAAAATAAGACAGAATCTTTCTGAGAAAATGCTTTGAGATGTGTGCTTTCATCTCACAGAGATGAACTTTTCTGTTGATCAAGCAGCTTGGAAACATTCTTTTTGTAGAATCCGCAAATGGATATTTGCAGCACTTTTAGGCCTATGGTGAAAAAGGAAATATCTTCACAAAAACGCTAAAAAGAAGCTTTCTGAGAAACTTCTTTGTGATGTGTGGATTCATATCACAGAGCTGATCCTTTCTTTTGATTGAGCAGATTGGAAACCATCTTTTTGTACAATCTGCAATGGGATATTTCTGAGCCGTTTGATGCCTATGGGGAAAAAGAATTATCTTCACATAAAAACTAGACAGAATCATTCTGAGAAATTTCCTTGTGTTGTGTGCCTTCATGTCACAGAGTTGAACCTTTCTTTTCTTGGAGCAGTTTGGAAACAGTATTTTTGTAGTATCTGCAGAGGGATATTTGTGAACAGTTAAAGGCCTATGGTGAAAAATAAAATATCTTCACATAAAAACTATACAGAAGCATTCCGAGAAACTTAGTTCTTTTGTGTGCATTCATCTGACAGAGATGAATCTTTCTTTTCTTTGAGCAGTCTATAAACAGTCTTTTTATACAATGTGCAAAGGGATATTTCTGAGCGGTTTGAGGCCTATGGTGGAAAAGTAGTATCTTCACATAAAAACTAGACAGAAGCATTCTGAGAAACTTCTATTTTATGTGTGCATTCACCTCACAGAGTTGAAACTTTCTTTTCATTGAGTAGTTTGGAAAGAGTCTTTTTGTAGAATCTTCAAAGGGATATTTGTGATTCCTTTGAGGCCTGTGGTGAAATAGGAAATATCCTCAAATAAAAAGACAGAAGCTTTCCAAGAAACTTCTTTTTGATGTGTGCTTTCATCTCACAGAGTTGACCTTTCTTTTGATTGAGAAGTTTGGAAACAGTCTTTTTGTGGAATCTGCAAATGGATGTTTGGAGTGCTTTGAGGCCTATGGTGAAAAAGTAAATATCTTCACCTAAAACCCAGATAGAAGCATTTTCAGAAAACTCTTTGGATGTTTGCATTCATCTCACTGAGTTGAACCTTTCTGTTTATTGAGCAGTGTGGAAGCATACTTTTTGTGCAATCTGCAAAGGAATATTTGTTTACGGTTTGAGACCTATGGTAAAAAAGTAATATCTTCACATAAAAAGTTGATGGAAGCATTCTGAGAAACTAATTTTTTATGTGTGCATTGATCTCAAAGAGTTGAAACTTTCTTTTGATGAAACAGTTTGGAAACAGTTTTTTGAAGAATCTGAAAAGGGATATTTGTGATCCCTTTGAGGCCTAAGGTGAAATAGGGAATATCTTCACATAAAAACTAGACAGAAACTTTCTGAGAAACTTCTTTGTGATGTGGGCTTTCATCTCACAGATTTGAAACTTCATTTCGATTGAGCAGTTTGGAAAGAGTCTTTTTGTAGTATCTGCAGAGGGCTATTAGTGAGCAGACTGAGGCCTATAGTGAAAAAGGAAATGGCTTCTCAAAAAAACTAGACAGAAGCATTCTGAGAGACTTCTTTGTAATGTGCGCATTCATCTTATAGAGTTAAACCTTTCTTTTCATTGAGCTTTTTGGAAACACTCTTTTTGTGGCATCTGTAAGGTTATAATTCTGAGCCCATTGAGACCTATTTTGAAATATGAAATATCTTCAAATAAAAACTAGATAGAAAGTTTCTAAGAAACTCCTTTGTGATGTGTGCTTTCATCTCACAAAGTTAAAACTTTATTTTGATTGAGCAGTTTGGAAACACTTTTTTTTATAGAATCTGCAAGTGGATATTTGGAGCTCTTTGAGGCCCATGGTGAAAAAGGAAATATCTTCACATATAAACTAAACAGAAGTTTTCTGAGAAACTTCTTTGTGATGTGTGCATTTATCTCACAGAGCTGTACCGTTCTTTTGATTGAGCAATTTGGAAACAGTTTTTTTGTAAAATCTGCAAATGGATATTTGGAGCGCTTTGAGGTGTATGGTGAAAAATGAAACTTTTTCACATAAAACTAGACAAAAGCATTCTGAGAAGCTTCTTTGTGATGTGTGCTTTCGACACACAAAGTTTAACCTTTCTTTTCATTGAGCAGTTTGCAAACAGTCTTTTTGTAGAATCTGCAAAGGGATATTTGTTAGTAGTTTGAGGCCTATGGTGAAAAAGGAAATACCTTCACATAAAAACCAGAGAGAAGCTTTTTGAGAAACCTCTTTGTGATGTTTGCATTCATCACACAGAGTCAAATCTTCCTTTTCATTGAGCAGTTTGGAAACAGTTTTTTGCACACTCTGTAAAGGGATATTTCTGAGCAGTTTTAGGCCTATGTTGAAAAAGAAATATCTTCACATAAAAATTAGACAGAAGCATTCTGGGAAACTTCTTTGTGATATATGCATCCAACCCACAGAGTTGAACCTTTCATTTCATTGGGTAGTTCGGAAACAGACTTTTCATAGAATCTGCAAAGGGATATTTCTGAGCCCTTTGTGGCCTATGGTGAAATAGGAAATATCTTCACATAAAAACTAGACAGAAGCTTTCTGAGAAACTTCTTTGTGATGCGTGCTTTCATCTCACAGGGTTGAACCTTTTTTTGATTGAGCAGTTTGGAAGCAGTCCTTTTGTAGAATCTGCAAAGGGATACTTCTGAGCCCTTTGAGTGCTATAGTGAAATAGGAAATATCTTCACATAATAACTAGACAGAAGCATTCTGAGAAACTTCTTTGTGATGTATGCTTTCATTTCACAGAGTTGAACCTTTCCTTTGATTGAGCAGTTTGGAAACACTCTTTTTGTAGAATCTGTAAACAGATATTTGGAGTGATTTGAGGCATAAGGTGAAAAAGGAAGTATCTGCACATAAAAACTAGACAGAAACTTTCTGAGAAACTTCTTTGTGATGCGTGCTTTCATCTCACAGATTTGAACCTTTCTTTCATTGAACAGTTTGGGAACAAGTCATTTTGTAGAATCTGCAAAGGTATATTTGTGAGCAGTTTGAGGCCTATGGTGAAAAACTAAATATCTTCACATAAAAACCAGGCAGAAATTTTTTGAGATAACTCTTTGTGATATTTGCAATCATCTCAAAGAGTTGAACCTCTCTCTTCATTGAGGAGTTTGGAGACATTCTTTTTGTGCAATCTGCAAAGGAATATTTCTGAGTGGTTTGAGGCCTATGGTGAAAAAGAAATAACTTCACATAAAAACTTGACAGAAGCATTCTGAGAAACGTCTTTTTTACCTGTGCATTCACCTCACAGAGTTGAACCTTTCTTTTCATTGAGCAGTTTGGAAGCAGTCTTTTTGTAGAATCTGCAAAGGGATATTTGTGATCCCCTTGAGTTCTATGGTGAAATAGGAAATATATTCACATAAATACTAGACAGAAGCTTTCTGAGAAACTTCTTTGTGATGTGTGCTTTCATCCTACAGAGTTGAACCTTTCTTTTGATTGATAACTTTGGAAACAGTATTTTTGAAGAGTCTACAAACGGATATTTGGAGAGATTTGAGGCCTACATTTAAAAAGGAAATATATGCACATAAAAACAAGACAGAAGCATTTTGAGAAACTTCTTTGTGATGTGCACTTTCATTTCACAGAGTTGAATCTTTCTTTTGAATGAACAGCTTGGAAACAGTCTTTTTGTACAATCTGCAAAGGTATATTTCTGAGCCATTTGAGGCTTATGGTGAAAACGAAATATCTGCACATAAAAACTTGACAGAAGCATTCTGAGAAACTTCTTTGTGATATGTCCATTCATGTCACAGAGTTGAACCTTTCTTTTGATTGAGCAGTTTGGAAGCAGTCCTTTTGTAGAATCTGCAAGGGATACTTGTGAGCCCTTTATGACCTGTGGTGAAATATGAAATATCTTCACATAAAAACTAGACAGAAGATTTCTGAGAAAATTCTTTCTGATGTGTGCTTTCATCTCACAGTGTTGAACCTTTCTTTTGATTGAGCAGTTTGGAAAGTCTTTTTGTTGAATCTGCAAATGGATATTTGGAACTATTTGAGGCCCATGGTGAAAAAGAAAGTATCTTCACATAAAAACTAGACAGAAGATTTCTGAGAAACTTCTTTGTGTTGTGTAAATTCATGTCACAGAATTCAACCTTTCTTTCGATTGAGCAGTTTGGAAACAGTCTTTTGTAGAAGCTGCAAAGGGAAATTTCTTAGCCGTTTGAGGCCTATAGTGAAAAAGAAATATCTTCACATAAAAACTAGATAGAAGCTTTCTAAGAAACTTCTTTGTGATGTGTCCATTCACCTCACAGAGTTAAACCTTTCTTTTGATTGAGGAGTTTGGAAAATGTCTTTTCTTAGAATCTACAAAGGGATATTTGTGAGCCCTTTATGGCCTATGTTGAAATATGAAATATCTTCACATAAAAAATAGACAGAAGCTTTCTGAGAAACTCCTCTGTGGTGTGCACGTTTGTATCACAGAGTTGAACCTTTCATTTGATTGAGCAGTTTGGAAACAGTCTTTTTGTAGAATCTGCAAATGTATATTTGGAGTGTTTTAAGGCCTATAGTGAAAAAGGAAATATCTTCACATAAAAACTACACAGTAGCTTTTTGAGAAAACTCTTTGTGACATTTCCATTCATATCTAAGAGTTGACCATTTCTTTTCAGTGAGCAGTTTGGAAACAGTTTTTTTGTAGAAACTGCAAGGGGATATTTCTGAGCAGTTTGAGGCCAATGGTGAAAAATAAATATCTTCACATGAAAACTAGAGAAAAGCATTTTCAGAAACTTCTTTGTGATGTGTGCATTCATCTCACAGAGTTGAACGTTTCTTTTGATTTAGCAATTTGTAGAAAGTCTCTTGGTAGTATAAGTGGAGTTATATTTGTGAGCAGTTTAAGGCCTATGGTGCAAAAGGAAATACCTTCACATAAAAAGTAGACAGAAGCTTTCTGAGAAACTTCTTTGTGATGTGTGCTTTAGTCTCACAGAGTTGATCCTTTCTTTTGATTGACCAGTTTGGAAACATTCTTTTTTGTAGAATCTGCAAATGGATATTTGGAGTGATTTGAGGCCTATGGTGAAAAAGGAAATATCTTCACATAAAAACTAGACAGAAGAATTCTGAGAAACTTCTTTGTGATGAGTCTATTCATCTCACAGAGTTGAAACATTCTTTGATGGACCAGTTTGGAAACAGTCTTTTTATAGTATCTGCAGAGGGATATTTTTGAGCGGTTTAAAGACTATGGTGAAAAAGGAAATATCTTCACATAATAACTAGACAGAAGCATTCTGAGAAACTTATTTGTGATGTGTGCATTCATCTTACAATGTTGAACGTTTCTTTTGATTGAGCAGTTTGGAAACAGAACTTTTGTAGAATCTGCAAAGGGATATTTGTGAGCCCATTGATTCCTATGGTGAAATAGGAATTATCTTGAGATAAAAACTAGGCAGAAGATTTCTGAGAAACTTCTTTGTGATGTGTGCTTTCATCTCACAGAGTTGAAAATTTCTTTTGATTGAGCAGTTTGGAAACAGTCTTTTTGTATAATCTGCAAATGGATATTTGGAGCACTTTGTGGCCTAAGGTGAAAATGGAAATATCTTCACATAAAAACTAGACAGAAGAATTCTGAGAAACTTCTTTGTGATGTGTGCATTCATCTCAGAGAGGTGAACTTTTCTTTTGATGGAGCAGTTTGGAAACAGTATTTTTTTAGTATCTGCAGAAGGATATTTGTGAGCAGTTTAAGGCCTATGGTGAAAAAGGAAATATCTTCACATAAAAACTAGACAGGAGCTTTCTGAGAAACTTCTTTGTGATGTGTGCATTCATCTCACAGTGTTGAAACTTTATTTTGTTTGAGAAGTTTAGAAACAGTCTTTTTCTGCAATCTGCAAAGGTATATTTCTGAGCCATTTGAGGTCTATGGTGAAAAAGAAATATCTTCACATTTAAACTAGACAGAAGAATTCTGAGGAACTTCTTTGTGATGTCTCCATTCATTTGACAGAGTTGAATGTTTCTTTTAATTCAGAAGTTCAGCAACCATATTTTTGTAGAATCTGCAAAGATATATTTGTGAGACATTTGAAGCCTATAGTGAAATAGTAAATATCTTCACATAAAAACTAGACAAAAGAATTCTGAGAAACTTCATTCTAATGTGTGCATTCACCTCACAGAATTTAACCTTTCTTTTGATTGAGCAGTATGGAAATGATCCTCTTTTAGAATCTGCAAAGGGATATTTCTTAGCCCTTTTAGGCCTATGGTGAAACTGGAAATATCTTCACATGAAAACCAGACCGAAGCTTTCTGAGAAACTTCTTTGAGATGTGTGCTTTCATCTCACAGAGTTAAACCTTTCTTTTGATTCAGCAGTTTGGAAACACTCTTTTTGTGAACTCTGTAAATGGATATTAAGGGTGCTTTGAGGCCATTGGTGACAAAGGAAATATCTTCACATAAAAACTAAACAGAAGTTTCCTGAGAAACTACTCTTTGATGTGTCCATTAATCTAACAGAGTTGAAACTTTCTTTTTATTGAGCAGTTTGGATACGGTCTTTTTGTAGAATCTGCAAAAAATATTTGTGAGCCCTTTATTGCCTATGGTGAAGTAGGAATTTTCTTCACATATAAACTAGACAGAAGCATTCTGAGAAACTTCTTTGTGATGTGTGCATTAATCTCACAGAGTTGAAACTTTCTTTGGATTGAGCAGTTTGGAAACAGTCTTTTTGTAGAATCTGCAAAGAGATATTTCTGAGCCCATTCAGTACTATGGTGAAATGTGAAATATCTTCACATAAAAACTAGACAGAAGCTTTCTAAGAAACTTGTTTGTGATGTGTGCTTTCATCTCACAGAATTGAAACTTTCTTTTGATTGAGGAGTATGGAAAAACTCTTTTTCTAGAATCTGCAAATGGATATTTGGAACACTTTGAGGCCCATGGTGAAAAACGAAATATCTTCACATAAAAACTAAACAGAAGCTTTCTGAGAAATTTCCTTGTGATGTGTGCATTCATCTCACAGAGTTGAACCTTTCTTTTGATTGAGCAGGTTGGAAAGAGGATTATTGTACAATCTGCAAAGGGATAATTCTGATCCGTTTGAGGCCTATGGTGAAAGAGAAATATCTTCACGTAAAAACTAGACAGAGTCAGTCTGAGAAATTTATTTGTGATGTGTCCATTCATCTCACAGAGTTGAAACTTTCTTTTGATTAAGCAGTTTGGAAACTGTCTTTTTGTAGAACCTTCAAAGGGATATTTGTGAGCTCTTTATGGCGTCAGGTGAAATAGGAAATATCTTCACATACAAACTAGAGAGAAGCTATCTGAGTAACTTTTTTGTGATGTGTGCTTTCATCTCAGAGAGCTAAAAATTTGTTTTGATTGATCAGTTGGGAAACAGTCTTTTTGTAGAATCTGCAAACGGATATTTGGATTGCTTTGAGGCCTATGTTGAGAAAGGAAATATCTTCACATAAAAACAAGACAGAAGATTTCTGAGAAACTTCTTGTTACGTGTGCACTCATCTCACATGTTTGAACCTTTCTTTTGATTGAGCAGTTTGGAAACAGTCTTTTTGTACAATCTACAAAGGAATATTTCTGAACGGTTTGATGCCTATGGTGAAAAAGAAATATCTTCACATAAAAACTAGACCAAAGCATTATGAGAAAGTAATTTATTATGTGTGCATTCATCTCACAGAGCTGAACCTTTCTTTTCATGGAGCAGTTCGAAAATTGTGTTTTTGTAGAGTCTGCAAAGGGATATTTGTGAGAACTTTGAGGCCTATGGTGATATAGGAAATATCTTCACAAAAAAATAGACAGAAGCATTATGAGAAACTTCTCTGTGATGTGTGCTTTCTTCTCACAGATTTGAATCTTTCTTTTAATTGAACAGTTTGGAAACTCTTCTTTTGTAGATTCTGCAAAAGGATATTTGGAGCACTTTGAGGCCTATGGTGAAAAAGGAAATATCTTCACTTAAAAACTAAACAGAAGCTTTCTGAAAAACGTCTTTGTGATGTGCATATTCATGTCACAGTGTTGAACCCTTGTTTTCATTGAACAGTTTGGAAACCATCTTTTTGTACAATCTGCAAAGGGATATTTCTGAGCACTTTGAGGCCTAAGGTGAAAAACAAATATCTTAACATAAAAAGTAGACAGAGACATTCTGAGAAACTTCTTTATCATGTATGCATTCTTCTCCCAGAGTTAAACCATTCTTTTCTTTTTTACTATTATTATACTTTAAGTTTAGGGTACAAGTACACAATGTGCAGGTTAATTACAAATGAATACATGTGCCATGCTGGTGCGCTGCACCCACTAACTCGTCATCTAACATAAGTTGTATCTCCCAATGCTATCCCTCCCCTTCCCCCCACCCACGACAAGCCCCAGAGTGTGATGTTCCCCTTCCTGTTTCCATGTGTTCTCATTGTCCAATTCCCACTGATGAGTGAGAATATGCGGTGTTTGGTTTTTTGTTCTTGTGATAGTTTACTGAGAATGATGATTTCCAATTTCATCCATGTCCCTACAAAGGACATGAACTCATCATTTTTTATGGCTGCATTGTATTCCATGGTGTATATGTGCCACATTTTCTTAATCCAGTCTATCATTGTTGGACATTTGGGTTGGTTCCAAGTCTTTGCTATTGTGAATAATGCCACAATAAACATATGTATGCATGTGTCTTTATAGCAGCATGATTTATAGTCCTTTGGGTGTATACCCAGTAATGGGATGGTTGGGTCAAATGGTATTTCTAGTTCTAGATCCCTGAGGAATCGCCACACTGACTTCCACAATGGTTGAACTAGTTTACAGTCCCACCAACAGTGTAAAAGTATTCCTATTTCTCCACATGCTCTCCAGCACCTGTTGTTTCCTGACTTTTTAATGATTGCCATTCTAACTGGTGTGAGATGATATCTCATTGCGGTTTTGATTTGCATTTCTCTGATGGCCAGTGATGGTGGCATTTTTTCATGTGTTTTTTGGCTGCATAAATGTCTTCTTTTGAGAAGTGTCTGTTCATATCCTTTGTCCACTTTTTGATGGGGTTGTTTGTTTATTTCTTGTAAATTTGTTTGAGTTCATTGTAGATTCTGGATATTAGCCTTTTGTCAGATGAGTAGGTTGCAAAAATTTTCTCCCATTTTGTAGGTTGCCTATTCACTCTGATGGTAGTTTCTTTTGCTGTGCAGAAGCTCTTTAGTTTAATTAGATTCCATATGTCAATTTTGGCTTTTGTTGCTATTGCTTTTGGTGTTTTAGACACGAAGATCTTGCACATGCCTATGTCCTGAATGGTAAAGTCTAGGTTTTCTTCTAGGGTTTTTATGGTTTTAGATCTAACGTTTAAGTCTTTAATCCATCCTGAATTGATTTTTGAATGAGGTGTAAGGAAGGGATCCAGTTTCAGCTTTCTACATATGGCTAGCCAGTTTTCCCAGCACCATTTATTAAATATGGAATCCTTTCCCCATTGCTTGTTTTTCTCAGGTTTGTCAAAAATCAGATAGTTGTAGATATGTGGCATTATTTCTGAGGGCTCTGTTCTGGTCCATTGATCTATATCTCTGTTTTGGTACCAGTACCATGCTGTTTTGGTTACTGTAGCCTTGTAGTATAGTTTGAAGTCAGGTAGTGTGATGACTCCAGCTTTGTTCTTTTGGCTTAGGATTGACTTGGCGATGTGGGCTCTTTTTTGATTCCACACGAACTTTAAAGTAGTTTTTTCCAATTCTGTGAAGAAAGTGATTGGTAGCTTGATGGCAATGGCATTGAATCTGTAAATTACCTTGAGCAGTATGACCATTTTCAAGATATTGATTCTTCCTACCCATGAGCATGGAATGTTCTTCCATTTGTTTGTATCCTCTTTTATTTCCTTGAGCAGTGGTTTGTAGGTCTCCTTGAAGAGGTCTTTCACATCCCTTGTAAGTTTGATTCCTAGGTATTTTATTCTCTTTGAAGCAATTGTGAATGGGAGTTCACTCATGATTTGGCTCTCTGTTTGTCTGTTGTTGGTGTATAAGAATGCTTGTGAATTTGTACATTGATTTTGTATCCTGAGACTTTGCTGAAGTTGCTTATCAGCTTAAGGAGATTTTGGGCTGAGACAATGGGGTTTTCTAGATATACAATCATGTCGTCTGCAAGCAGGGACAATTTGACTTCCTCTTTTCCTAATTGAATACCCTTTACTTCCTTCTCCTGCCTAATTGCCCTGGCCAGAACTTCCAACACTATGTTGAATAAGAGTGGTGAGTGATGACATCCCTGTCTTGTGCCAGTTTTCAAAGGGAATGCTTCCAGTTTTTGCCCATTCAGTATGATATTGGCTGTGGGTTTGTCATAGATAGCTCTTATTATTTTGAAATGCATCCCATCAATATCTAATTTATTGAGAGTTTTTAGCATGAAGTGTTGTTGAATTTTGTGAAAGGCCTTTTCTGCATCTATTGAGATGATCATGTCGTTTTGGTCTTTGATTCTGTTTATATGCTGGATTACATTTATTGATTTGCATATATTGAACCAGGCTTGCATCCCAGGGATGAAGCCCACTTGATCATGGTGGATAAGCTTTTTGATGTGCTGCTGGATTCGTTTTGCCAGTATTTTATTGAGGATTTTTGCATCAATGTTCATCAAGGATATTGGTCTAAAATTCTCTTTTTTGGCTGTGTCTCTGCCCGGCTTTGGTATCAGGATGATGTTGGCCTCATAAAATGAGTTAGGGAGGATTCCCTCTTTTTCTATTGATTGGAATAGTTTCAGAAGGAATGGTACCAGTTCCTTCTTGTACATCTGGTAGAATTCCGCTGTGAATCCATCTGGTCCTGGACTCTTTTTGGTTGGTAAGCTATTGATTAATGCCACAATTTCAACTCCTGCTATCGGTCTATTCAGAGATTCAACTTCTTCCTGGTTTAGTCTTGGGAGAGTGTATGTGTCAAGGAATTTATCCATTTCTTCTAGATTTTCTAGTTTATTTGCGTAGAGGTGTTTGTAGTATGCTCTGATGGTAGTTTGTATTTCTGTAGGATTGGTGGTGATATCCCCTTTATCATTTTTTATTGCATCTATTTGATTCTTCTCTCTTTTTTTCTTTATTAGTCCTGCTAGTGGTCTATCAATTTTGTTTATCCTTTCAAAAAAGCAGCTCCTGGATTCATTAATTTTTGAAGGGTTTTTTGTGTCTCTATTTCCTTCAGTTCTGCTCTGATTTTAGTTATTTCTTGCCTTCTGCTAGCTTTTGAATGTGTTTGCTCTTGCTTTTCTAGTTGTTTTAATTGTGATATTAAGGTGTCAATTTTGGATCTTTCCTGCTTTCTCTTGTGGGCATTTAGTGCTATAAATTTCCCTCTACACACTGCTTTGAATGCGTCCCAGAGATTCTGGTATATTGTGTCTTTGTTTTCGTTGGTTTCAAAGAACATCTTTATTTCTGCCTTCATTTCGTTATGTACCCAGTAGTCATTCAGGAGCAGGTTGTTCAGTTTCCATGTTGTTGAGTGGTTTTGAGTGAGATTCTTAATCCTGAGTTCTAGTTTGATTGCACTGTGGTCTGAGAGATAGTTTGTTATAATTTCTGTTCTTTTACATTTGCTGAGGAGAGCTTTACTTCCAACTACATGGTCAATTTTGGAATAAGTGTGGTGTGGTGCTGAAAATAATATACATTCTGTTGATTTGTGGTGGAGAGTTCTGTAGATGTCTATTAGGTCCTCTTGGTGCAGAGCTGAGTTCAATTCCTGGATATCCTTGTTGACTTTCTGTCTCATTGATCTGTCTAATGTTGACAGCGGGGTGTTAAAATCTCCCATTATTAATGTGTGGGAGTTTAAGTCTCTTTGTAGTTCACTCAGGACATGCTTTATGAATCTGGGTGCTCCTGTATTGGGTGCATATATATTGAGGATTGTTAGCTCTTTTTGTTGAATTGATCCCTTTACCATTATGTAATGGCCTTCTTTGTCTGTTTTGATCTTTGTTAGTTTAATGTCTGTTTTATTAGGGACTAGGATTGCAAAACCTGCCTTTTTTTCTTTTCCATTTGCTTGGTAGATCTTCCTCCATCCTTTTATTTTGAGCCTATGTGTGTCTCTGCACATGAGATGGGTTTCCTGAATACAGCACACTGATGGGTCTTGACTCCTTATCCAATTTGCCAGTCCGTGTCTTTTAATTGGAGCATTTAGTCCATTTACATTTAAATTTAATATTGTTATGTGTGAATTTGATCCTGTCATGATGATGTTAGCTGGTTATTTTGCTCGTTAGTTGATGCAGTTTCTTCCTAGTCTCTATGGTCTTTACATTTTGGCATGATTTTGCAGTGGCTGGTACTGGTTGTTCCTTTCCATGTTTAGCGTTTCATTCAGGAGCTCTTTTAGGGCAGGCCTGGTGGTGACAAAATCTCTCAGCATTTGCTTGTCTGTAAAGGATTTTATTTCTCCTTCACTTATGAAGCTTAGTTTGGCTGGATATGAAATTCTGGGTTGAAAATTCTTTTCTTTAAGAATGTTGAATATTGGCCCCCACTCTCTTCTGGCTTCTAGGGTTTCTGCCAAGAGATCCGCTGTTAGTCTGATGGACTTCCCTTTGAGGGTAACCCAATCTTTCTCTCTGGCTGCCCTTAACATTTTTTCCTTCATTTCAACTTTGGTGAATCTGACAATGATGTGTCTTGGAGTTGCTCTTCTCGAGGAGTATCTTTGTGGTGTTCTCTGTGTTTCATGAATCTGAATGTTGGCCTGCCATGCTAGATTGGGGAATTTCTCCTGGATAATATCCTGCAGAGTAGGGGAGGAGGAGCCAAGATGGCTGAATAGAAACAGCTCTGGTGTACAGCTCCCAGCCTGAGCAACACGGAAGACAGGTGATTTCTGCATTTCCATCTGAGGTACTGGGTTCATCTCACTAGGGAGTGCCAGACAGTGAGTGCAGGTCAGTGGGTGTGTTCACCATGCACGTGCTGAAGCTGGGCGAGCCATTGCCTCACTCGGGAAGCACAAGGGGTCATGGAGTTCCCTTTCCTAGTCAAAGAAAGGGGTGACAGACGGCACCTGTAAAATCAGGTCACTCCCACCCGAATACTGCACTTTTCCGATGGTCTTAAAAAAAGGCGCACCAGGAGATTATATCCTGCTCCTGGATTGGAGGGTCCTATGCCCACGGAGTCTTGCTGATTGCTAGCACAGTAGTCTGAGATCAAATGTCAAAGCGGCAGCGAGGCTGGGGGAGGGGTGCCCGCCATTGCCCAGGCTTGCTTAGTTAAACAAAGCAGACGGGAAGCTCGAACTTTGTGGAGCCCACCACAGCTCAAGGAGGCCTGCCTCTGTAGGCTCCACCTCTGGGGGCAGGGCACAGACAAACAAAAAGACAGCAGTAACCTCTGCAGACTTATATGTCCCTGTCTGACAGCTTTGAGGAGAGCAGTGGTTCCCCACACAGCTGGAGATCTGAGAACTGGCAGACTGCCTCCTCAAGTGGGTCCCTGACTCCTGACCCCGAGCAGCCTAACTGGGAGGCACTCCCCAGCAGGGGCAGACTGACACCTCACACGGCCGGGTACTCCAGCAGACCTGCAGCTGAGGGTCCTGTCTGTTAGAAGGAAAACTAACAAACAGAGATGTCATCCACACCAAAAACCCATCTGTACATCACCATCATCAAAGACCAAAAGTAGATAAAACCACAAAGATGGGGAAAAAACAGAGCAGAAAAACTGGAAACTCTAAAAAACAGAGCACCTCTCCTGCTCCAAAGGAATGCAGTTCCTCACCAGCAACAGAACAAAACTGGATGGAGAATGACTTTGACGAGCTGAGAGAAGAAGGCTTCAGATGATCAAATTACTCCGAGGTATGGGAGGACATCCAAACCAAAGGCAAAGAAGTTGAAAACATTGAAAAAAATTTAGAAGAGTCTATAACTACAATAAACAATACAGAGAAGTCTTAAAGGAGCTGATGGAGCTGAAAACCAAGGCTTGAGAACTACGTGAAGAATGCAGAAGCCTCAGAAACTGATTCAATCAACTGGAAGAAAGAGTATCAGCGATGGAAGATGAAATGAATGAAATGAAGCGAGAAGGGAAGTTTAGATAAAAAAGAATAAAAAGAAATGAGCAAAGCCTCCAAGAAATATGGGACTATGTGAAAAGTCCAAATCTACGTCTGATTGGTGTACCTGAATGTCACGGGGAGAATGGAACCAAGTTGGCAAACCATTCTTTTCATTGAGAAATTCGGAAGCAGTCTTTTTGTGGAATTTGCAAAAGAATATATGTGAGCCCACTGAGGCCCATGGTGAAATGGGAAATATCTTCACAGTAAAACTAAACAGAAACATTCTGAGAAACTGATTTGTGATGTTTACATTCATCTCACAGAGTTGAAACTTTCTTTTGATTGAGCAGTTTGGAAAAACTCTTTTTGAAGTATCTGCAAATGGATATTTGGAGTGCTTTGTGGCTTGTGGTGAAAAACTAAATATCTTCACATAAAATCAAGTGAGAAACTTTCTGAAGAACTTCTTTGTGATGTGTGCTTTCATCTCACAGAGTTGAAAATTTCTTTTGATTGAGCAGTTTGGAAATCGTCTTTTGTAGAATCTGCAAATCGATATTTGGATTGCTTTGAAGCCTGTCATTAGAAGAGAAATATCTTCACATAAAAACTAGACAGAAGATTTCTGAGAAACTTCTTTGTGATGTGTGCTTTCATCTCACAGAGTTGAACCGTTCTTTTGATGGAGCAGTTAAGAAACAGTCTTTATCTACAATCTGCAAAGGGATATTTCTGTGGGGTTTGAGGCCTACGGTGAAAAAGAAATATCTTCATATAAAAACTAGACAGAAGCATTCTGAGAAACTTCTTTTTTAGGTGTGCATTCATCTCACAGAGTTGAAACTTACTTTTCATTGAACAGTTCTGTAACAGTCTTTTTGTAGAATCTGCAAAAGGATATTTGTGAGCCCCTTGAGGCCCATGGTGTAACAGGAAATTCCTTCAATTAAAAACTAGACGGAAGCTTTCTGAGTAACTTCTTTGTGATTTGTGCTTTCATCTCACAGAGTTGAACCTTTCTTTTGATTGAGCAGTTTGGAAAAAGTCTTTTTGTACAATCTGCAAAAGATATTTTGTGCACTTTGTGGACTATGGTGAAAAAGGAAATATGTTCACATGAAAACTAGAAAGAAACTTTCTGAGAAACTTCTTTGTGATGTGCACTTTCTTTTTATTTTATTTTATTTTATTTTATTTTATTTTTTTATTTTATTATTATTATACTTTAAGTTTAAGGGTACAAGTGCACAATGTGCAGGTTAGTTACATATGTATACATGTGCCATGCTGGTGTGCTGCACCCTTTAACTCGACACTTAGCATTAGGTATGTCACATAATGCTATCCCTCCTCCCTCCCCTCACCCCACAACAGTCCCCAGAGTGTGATGTTCCCCTTCCTGTGTCCATGTGTTTTCATTGTTAAATTCCCACCTATGAGTGAGAACATGTGGTGTTTGGTTTTCTGTCCTTGTGATAGTTTACTGAAAACGATGATTTCCAATGTCATCCATGTCCCCACAAAGGACATGAACTCATCATTTTTTATGGTTGCATAGTATTCCATAGGGTATATGTGCCACATTTTCTTAATCCAGTCTATCATTGTTGGACATTGGGTTGCTTCCAAGTCTTTGCTATTGTGAATAGTGCCACAATAAACATACGTGGGCATGTGTCTTTATAGCAGCATAAAACCAAAGAGAACAAAGACACAACATACCAGAATCTCTGGGACACATTCAAAGCAGTGTGTAGAGGGAAATTTATAGCATAAATGCCCACAAGGGAAAGCAGGAAAGATCCTAAATTGACACCCTAACATCACAATTAAAAGAACTAGAAAAGCAAGAGCAAACACTTTCAAAAGCTAGCAGAAGGCAAGAAATAACTAAAATCAGAGCAGAACTGAAGGAAATAGAGACACAAAAAACCCTTCAAAAAATTAATGAATCTAGGAGCTGGTTTTTTGAAAGGATCAACAAAATTGATAGACTGGAAGCAAGACTAATAAAGAAGAAAAGAGAGAAGAATCAAATAGACGCAATAAAAAATGATAAAGGGGATATTACCACCGATCCCACAGAAATTCCAACCACCTTGAGAGAATACTACAAACACCTCTATGCAAATAAACTAGAAAATCTAGAAGAAATGGATAAATTCCTCAACACATACACCCTCCCAAGACTAAACCAGGAAGAAGTTGAATCTCTGAATAGACCAATAACAGGAGCTGAAATTGTGGCAATAATCATTAGCTTACCAACCAAAAAGAGTCCAGGATCAGATGGATTCACAACCGAATTCTACCAGAGGTACAAGAAGGAACTGTTACCATTCCTTCTGATACTATTCCAATCAATAGAAAAACAGGGAATCCTCCCTAACTCATTTTATGAGGCCAGCATCATCCTGATACCAAAGCCTGGCAGATATACAACCAAAAAAGAGAATTTTAGACCAATATCCTTGAAGATCGTTGATGCAAAAATCCTCAATAAAATACTGGCAAACAGAATCCAGCAACACATCAAAAAGCTTATCCACCATGATCAAGTGGGCTTCATCCCTGGGATGCAAGGCTGGTTCAATATAAGCAAATCAATAAATGTAATCCAACATATACACAGAACCAAAGACAAAAACCACATGATTATCTCAATAGGTGCAGAAAAGGCCTTTGACAAAATTCAACAAAGCTTCATGCTAAAAACTGTCAATAAATTAGGTATTGATAGGACGTATCTCAAAATAATAAGAGGTGTCTATGAAACTTCTTTGTGATGTGTGCATTCATCTCACAGAGTTGAACCTTTCTTTTGATTGGGCTGTTTGAAAACAGTCGTTTTGTAGAATCTGCAAACAGATGGGTTTCAGCGATTTGAGTCCTTTGGTGAAAAAGGAAATGTCAAAGAATAAAATGTAGAGAGCAGCTTTCTGAAAAACATCTTTGTGATGTGTACATTCATCTCACAGGGTTGAAACTTTCTTTTGATTGAGCAGTTTGGAAACAGTCTTTTCGTAGAACCTGCAAAGTGATATTTGTGAATTGTTTGAGGCTTATGTTGAAAAAGGAAATATCTTCACATAAAAACTAGACTCATGTTTCCTGGGAAACTTCTTTGTAATGGGTGCATGCATCTCAAAGGGTTGAATCTTTCTTTTGATTGAGCAGTTTGGAAACAGTCTTTTTGGAGAATCTGCAAAGGGATGTTTTTGAGCAGTGTGAGGCATGTGGCAAAAAGGAAATATCTTCATATAAACACTAGACAGAAGCATTCTGAGAAATCACTTTGTGTTGCGTGCATTCATCTCACAGAGTTGAATTTTCTTTCATTGAGCAGTTTAGAAACAGTCTTTTTGTAGAATATGCAAAGGGATATTTGTGAGCTTTTTGAGGCCTATTGTGAAAAAGGAAATCTCCACAAATAAAATCTAGACAGAACCCTTCTGAGAAACTTCTTTGTGATGTGTGCATTCATCACACAGAACTGAACCTTTCTTTTGATTGAGCAGTTTGGAAACAGTCTTTTTATAGAATCTGCAAAGGAAAATTTGTGAATGCTTTGAGGCTTATGGTGAAAAAGAAGTATCTTCACATAAAAGCTAAGACAGGAACGTTCTGAGAAACTTCTTTGTGATGTGTGCATTCATCTCACACAGCTGAACTTTCATTTGATTGAGCAGTTGGAAACCAGTCCTTTAGTAGAATCTGCAAAGGGTTCTTTATGAGCAGTTTGAGGCCTATGGTGAAAAAGGGAGTATCGACAAATAAAAACTAGACAGAAAATTTCTGAGAAACTTCTCTGTGATGTGTGCATTCATCTCACAGAGTAAAAACTTTCTTTAATTGAGCAGCTTGGAAACAGTCTTTTTGTAGAATCTGCAAAGGGATATATGTAGGCAGTTTCAGGTCTATCGTGAAAACGGAAATATCTTTGCATAAAAACTAGATAGAAGGTTTCTGAGAAAATTCTTTGAGATGTGCTCATTCATCTCACAGATTTGAAGTGTTCTTTTCATTGACCAGCTTGGATAGTCTTTTTGTAGAATCTGCTTTGCGATATTTGTGAGCCCTTTGAAGCCTATGGTGAAAAAAGAAATATCTTCACACAAAAACTAGACAGAAGTTTCTGAGAAACTTCGTTGTGATGTGTGCATTCTTCCCAAAGAGTTGAACCTGTCTTTGGATTGAGCAGTTGGAAACAGTCCTTTGTAGAATGTACAAAGGGATATTTGAGATCCCTTTTTGGCCTATGGTAAAAAAGGAAATGTCTTCACATAAAAACTAGACAGAAGCATTGCGAGAAACTTATTTTTGGTGTGTGCATTCTTCTCACAGAGTTGAACCTTTCTTTAGTTAGAGCAGGTTGGAAAAAGTCTTTTTGTAGACTCTGCAAAGTGATAATTTGAATGCTTTAAGACTTATGGTGAAAAAGGAAATATCTTCACATAAAAACTGGCTGGAAGCTTTCTGAGAAACTTCTTTGTGATGTGTGCATTCACCTCACAGAGTTGAACCTTTCTTTTGATTGAGTAGTTTGGAAATAGTCTTTTTGTAGAATCTGCAAAGGGTTATTTATGAGCAGTTTCAGGCCTATGGTGAAAAAGGGAGTATCAACAAATAAAACTAGACAGAAACTTTCTGAGAAACTTCTCTGTGACGTGTGCATTCATCTCACAGAGTGGAAGCTTTCTTTGATTGAGAAGTTTGGAAACAGTCTTTTCATAGAATCTGCAAAGGGATATATGTAGGCAGTTTGAGGTCTATGGTGAAAACGGAAATATCTTCACATAAAAACTAACAGTTCAATGGGAAGAAACTTTTACTTGTGTGTGATGAATGCACACGTCACAAAGGAGTTAGTCAGAAAACTTCTTTCTACTTTTAATGTGAAGATATTTCCTTTTTCACCATATGCCTCAATGTGTTCCCAGGTATCCCTTTGCAGATTCTACAAAAAGACTGTTTCTAAACTGCTCAATAAACAGAATGGTTCAACCCTGTGAGACGAATGTGCACATCACAAAGAAGTTTCTCAGAAAACTTCCTTCCCGTTTTTATGTGAAGAGATTTCCTTTTTGAATATAGGCCTCAACGCACTCCCAAATATACCTCTGCAGAATCTACAAAAATACTGTTTCCAAAGTGTTCAATCAAAAGAAAGTTTCAACTCTGTTAGATGAATGCACACATCAGAAAGTAGTTTCTCAGCAAGCTTCTCACTAGTTTTTAGGTGAAGATAGTTCCTTTTTCAACGTGGGTCTCAAAGCACTCAAAAATATCCCTTTGCAGACTCTAGAATAACAGAGTTTATGAACTGCTCAATGAAAAGAAAGGTTTACTTCTGTGAGATGAATACACATATCTTAAAGCAGCTTCTCAGAATGCTTCTTTCTAGTTTTTATGTGAAGATATTTCCTTTTTCACCATAGGCCTCAACACACACCTAAATATCCCTCTGCAGATTGTACAAAAAGACTTTCCAAACTGCTCAATCAAAACAAATGTTAAACTCTATGAGATAAATGCACACATCTCAAAAAGTTTCTCAGAAAACTTTTGTCTAGTTTTTATGTGATGATATTTCCTTATTCACCATAGGCCTGAAAGCGCTACAAATATCCTTCTGCAGATTCTACAAAAAGACTGTTTGCAAACTGCTCAATCCAAAAAATGATTCAACTCTGTGAGATGAATGCACACATCACAAAGAAGTTTCTCAGAAACGTTCTTTATGGTTTTTCTGTGAAGATATTTCCTTTTTCACCATAGGCCTCAAAGCCCTCACAAATATCCCTTTGCAGATTCTACAAAAAGACTGTTTCCAAACCGCTCAATAAAAAGAATTATTGAACACTGTGAGATGAATGCACACAGCTCAAAGAGGTTTCTCAGAGTCCTTCAGTCTGGTTTTTATGTGAATATATTTCCTTTTACACCATAGTCCTCAAAGCGCTCCAAATGTCCATTTGCAGACTCTACAAAAAGACTGTTTCCAAACGGCTCAATCAAAACAAAGTTTCAACTCTGTGTGATTAATGCACACATCATGAAGAAGTTTCTCAGAATGCTTCTGTCTAGTTTTTATGTGAAGATACTTGCTTTTTCACCATAGGCCTCAAAGTGCTCACAAATATCCCTTTAGATATTCTACAAAAATACTTTTTCCAAATTGCTCAATCAAAAGAAAGGTTCAATCCTGTGAGATGTATGCACACCACAAAGAGGTTTCTCAGAAAGCTTCTCTCTAGTTTTTACATGAAGATATTTCCTTTTTCACCATAGGCCTCCAAGTGTTCACAAATATCCCTTTGCAGATTCTACAAAAAGACTCTTTACACATTGCTCAATCAAAAGAATGTTTCATCTCTGTGAGGTGAATGCTCACATCACCAGGATGTTTCTCAGAAAGCTTCTGTGTAGTTTTTATGTGAAGATATTTCCTTTTTCACCATACGCCTCAAAGGGCTCACAAATATCCCTTTGCAGTTTTTACAAGAAAAGAGTTTCCAATCTTCTCAATGAAAAGAAAGAGACACATCTTGGAGATGAATGCACATATCACAAAGCAGTTTCTGAGAAACATTCTGTCTAGTTTTTATGTGAAGTTATCTCCTTTTTCACCACAGGATGCAAAGTGCTCAAAATTGTTGCTTTGCAGATTCTACAAAAAGTTTGTTTCCACAGTGCTTATCAAAAGAAAGGTTCACCTCTGTGAGATGAATGCAAGTGTCAAAAAGAAGTTTCTCAGAAAGCTTCTATTAAGTTTTCATGTGAATGTTTCCTTTTTCACCATGAGCCTCAAAGTGCTCACAAATATCCAGTTGAGGAATATTTAAAAAGACTATTTCCAAACCGCTCAACCAAAAGAAAGGTTGAACTGTGTGAGATGAATGCACACATCACAAAGGAGTTTCTCAGAAACCTTCTTTATAGTTTTTCTGTGAAGATATTTCCTTTTTCATCATAGGCCTCAAAGCCCTCACAAATATCTCTTTGCAGATTCTACAAAAAGACTGTTTCCAAACTGCTCAATAAAAAGAATTATTGAACTTTTTGAGATGAATGCACACATCTCAAAGAAGTTTCTCAGAAACCTTCAGTCTGGTTTTTATGTGAATATATTTCCTTTTTCACCATTAGCCTCAAAATGCTCCAAATATCCATTTTCAGGTTCTACAAAAAAACTGTTTCCAAACGGCTCAATGAAAAGAAAGTTTCAACTTTGTGAGCTGAATGCATACATCACTGAGAAGTTTCGCAGGAGGATTCTGTCTAATTTTTATATGAAGACATTTCCTTTTTCACCACAGGCCTCCATCTGCTCACAAATATCCCTTAGCAGATTCTACAAGAACAGAATTTCCAGACTGATCAAAGAAAACAAACGTTTTTCTCTGTGAGATGAATGCACACATCACAAAACTGTTTCTCAGAACCTTCTTTATACTTTTTGTGTGATGATATTTCTTTTTTCTCCGTAGGACTCAAAGAGCTCAAAAATATCCCTTTGCAGATTCTACAAAAAGATTGTTTCCAAACTGCACAATCAAAAAAATAGTTCAACTCCATGAGATGAATGCATACGTCACAAAGAAGTTTCTCAGAAACCTTCTTTATAGTTTTTATATGAAGATATTTCCTTTTTCACCATAGGCCTCAAAGTGCTCAGCAATATCCCTTTGCAGATACTGCAAAAAGACTGCTTCCCACCTGCTGAATCAAAAAAATGTTTAAACTCTGTGAGATGAATGCACACTTTACAACGAGGTTTCTCAGAAATCTTCTGTTCATTTTTTATGTGAAGATATTACCTTTTGCACCATAGCACTCAAAGTTCTGACAAATATTCCTTGCAGATTCTACAAAAAGACTGTTTCCAGACTGCTCAATCAAAAGAATGGTTCAACTCTGTGAGATGATTGCACACCTCACAAAGAAGCCACTAAGAAAGCTTCTGTCTAGTTTTTAAGTGAAGATATTTCCTGTTTCACCATAGGCCTCAAAGCACTCACAAATATCCCTTTGCAGATTATACAAGAACAGAGATTCCAGACTGATCAGAGAAAATAAACGTTTACTTCTGTGAGATCAGTGCACACATGACAAAGCTGTTTCTAAGAACCCTTCTTTATACATTTTATATGAATATATTTCCTTTTTCACCATTGACCTCAAAGCGCTCATAAATATCCCTTTGCAGATTCCACAAACAGACGGTTTCCATACTGCTCAATCAAAAGTAAGTTTCATCTTTGTGAGATGAATGCTCACATCACAAAGAGGTTTCTCAGAAAGCCTCTCTCTAATTATTATGTGAAGATATTTCCTTTTTCACCATAGGCCTCAAAGCACTCACAAATATCCCTTTGCAGACTCTACGAGAACAGTTGCCAGACTGACCAGAGAAAAGAAACATTAACCTCTGTGAGATGAGTGCATACATCACAAAGCTGTTTCTGAGAAACCTTGTTTATACTTTTTATGTGAATATATTTCCTTTTTCATCATAGGTCTTAAAGCACTCATAAATATCCCTTTGCAGTTTCTACAAAAAGACTGTTTCCAAACTGTTCAATCAAAAGAATGGTTGAACTCTATGAGATGAATGCAAACATCACAAAGAAGTTTCTCGGAAAGCTGTTTAGTTTTTATGTGAAGATATCTCCTATTTCATCTTAGGTCTCATAGCTCTCAAAAATATGCCTTTACAGATTCTACAAAAATACTGTATCCAAATTGCTCAATTCAAAGAGAGGTTCAAATCTGTGCGATGAATGCACCCATCACAAGGAGGTTTCTCAGAAAGCTTCTCTCTAGTTTTCATGTGAAAATATTTCCTTTTCCACCATAGGCTTCAAAGCATCACAAATATCCCTTTGCAGATTCTACCTACCAAAGTACTGTTTACAAACTGCTCAATCAAAAGAATGTTTCAACTTTGTGAGATGAATTCTCACATCTCCAAGATGTTTCACAGAAAGCTTCTGTCTAGTGTTTACGTGAAGATAATTCCTTTTTCACCATAAACCTCAAAGCGCTGACAAATATCCTTTTGCAGATTTTACAAGAACAGAATTTCCAATCTGCTCAATGAAGGGAAATAGTTACCTCTGTGGGATGAAAGCACACATCACAAAGCAGTTTCTCAGAAATATTCTGTCTAGTATTTATGTAAAGATAATTCCTTTTTCAACACAGGACACAAAGCGCTAAACTAATAACACTTTGGAAATTCTACAAAATACTGTCTCCAAACTGCTCATCAAAAGAAAGTTTCATCTCTATGGAATGAATGTATATATCAAAAAGATATTTCTCAGAAATCTTCTATCTTGTTTTTATGTGAGTGTGTTTCCTTTTTCACCATGGGCCTCAAAGTGCTCAAAAATATCCCTTTACAGATCCTAAAAAAAGACTGTTTCCAAACTGCTGAATGAAAGGAATGGTTCAAATCTGTGAGATGAATGCACACATCACAAAGAAGTTTCTCACAAACCTTCTTTATAGTTTTTATGTGAAGATATTTCTTTTTAACCATAGACCTCAAAGCACTCACAAATATACCTTTGCAGATTCTACAAAAAGACGGTTTCCCAACTGCTCAATCAAAAGAATTGTTGAACTCTGTGAGATGAATGCATACATCACAAAGCAGTTTGTCAGAATTCTTTAGTCTGGTTTTTATGTGAAGATATTTTCTCTTTCACCATAGGCCTCAAAGTGCTCAGAAATATCCCTTTACAGATTCCACAAAAAGACGTTTCCAAACTGCTCAATCAAAAGAAAGTTTCAATTCTGTGAGATGAATGCACACATCACCAAGAAGTTTCTCAGGATGCTTCTGTTTAGTTTTTATGTGAAGACAATTCCTTTTTCACCATAGGGCTCTATGAACTCAAAAATATCCCTTAGCAGATTCTAAAACAACAGAGTTTGCCATATTATCAAAGAAAAGAATCGTTTAACTCTGTGAGATGAAAGCAGACATCACAAAACAGTTTCTCAGAAAACTTCTTTATAGTTTTCTGTGAAGATACTTCTTTTTCTGCATAGGCCTCAAAGTGCTCAAAAATATCCGTTTGCAGATTCTGCAAAAATACTGTTTCCAAACTGCTGAAGCAAAAGAGAGGTTCAAATCTGTGAGATGAATGCACATATCACAAAGAGGTATCTCAGAATCTTTCCTTATACTTTGTATGTGAAGATATTTCCTTTGTCAACATAGGCCTCAAAGTGATCAAAAATACTCCTTTTCAGATTGTACAAGAACAGAGTTTCCAGACTGATCAGAGAAAAGAAATGCTTACCTCTGTGAGATGAATGCACACATCACAAGGCTGTTTTTAGGAAACCTGCTTCACAGTTCTTATGTGAAGGTATGTTTTTTCCACCATAGGCCTCACAGCGTTCCAAATATCCACTAGCAGATTTTACAAAAAGAGTGTTTCAAAACTGCTCAAAGGAAAGGTTGAACTCTGTGAGATGAATGCAAACATCACAAAGGAGTTTCTCAGAATGCTTCTGTCTAATTTTTATGTTAAGGTATTTCCCTTTCCACCATAGGCATCAAAGTGCTCCAAATATCCACATGCCGATATGACAAAAAGACTGTTTCCAAACTGCTCAATCAAAAGTGTGGTTCAACTCTCTGAGATGAATACACACATAACTAAGACGTTTCTCAGAACGCTTCTGTCTAGTTTTCATATGAAGATATTTCCTTTTCCAACATAGGCCTCAAATCGCCCCAAATATCCACTTGTAGATTCTACAAAAAGAGTATTTCAAAACTGGTCTATCAAAAGAAAATTTGAACTCGGTGAGATGAACACACACATCACTAAGAAGTTTCTCAGAATGCTTCTGTCTAGTTTTTCTTTTTTTTGAAGAGATTTTAGCTTTTATTTATTTATTTATTTATTTACTTTTATTATTATGCTTTAAGTTTTAGGGTACATGTGCACAATGTGCAAGTTAGTTACATATGTATACATGTGCCATGCTGGTCTGCTGCACCCACTAACTCGTCATCTAGCATTAGGTATATCTCCCAATGCTATCCTTATCCCCCCACCCCACAACGGGCCTCAGAGTGTGATGTTCCCCTTCCTGTGTCCATGTGTTCTCATTGTTCAATTCCCACCTATGAGTGAGAATATACGGTGTTTGGTTTTTTGTTCTTGTGATAGTTTACTGAGAATGACGATTTCCAATTTCATCCAAGTCCCTACAAAGGACATGAACTCATCATTTTTTATGGCTGCATAGTATTCCATGGTGTATATGTGCCACATTATCTTAATCCAGTCTATCATTGTTGGACATTTGGGTTGGTTCCAAGTCTTTGCTATTGTGAATAATGCCACAATAAACATACGTGTGCATGTGGCTTTATAGTAGCATGATTTATAGTCCTTTGGGTATATACCCAGTAATGGGATGGCTGGGTCAAATGGTATTTCTAGTTCTAGATCCCTGAGGAATCGCCACACTGACTTCCACAATGGATGAACTAGTTTACAGTCCCACCAACAGTGTAAAAGTATTCCTATTTCTCCACATGCTCTCCAGCACCTGTTTTTTCTGACTTTTTAATGATTGCCATTCTAACTGGTGTGAGATGGTATCTCATTGTGGTTTTGATTTGCATTTCTCTGATGGCCAGTGATGGTGAGCATTTTTTCATGTGTTTTTTGGCTGCATAAATGTCTTCTTTTCAGAAGTGTCTGTTTATGTCCTTTGCCCACTTTTTGATGGGGTTGTTTGTTTTTTTCATGTACATTTGTTTGAGTTCATTGTAGATTCTGGATACTAGCCCTTTGTCAGAAGAGTAGGTTGTGAAAATTTTCTCCCATTTTGTAGGTTGCCTGTTCATTCTGATGGCAGTTTCTTTTGCTGTGCAGAAGCTCTTTAGTTTAATTAGATCCCATTTGTCAATTTTGTCTTTTGTTGCCATTGCTTTTGGTGGTTTAGATAAGAAGTCCTTCCCCATGCCTATGTCCTGAATGGTAATGCCTAGGTTTTCTTCTAGGATTTTCATAGTTTTAGGTCTAATGTTTAAGTCTTGATTCCACCTTGAATTGATTTTTGAATAAGGTGTAAGGAAGGGATCCAGTTTCAGCTTTCTACATATGGCTAGCCAGTTTTCCCAGCACCATTTATTAAATATGGAATCCTTTCCCCATTGCTTGTTTTTCTCAGGTTTGTCAAAGATCAGATAGTTGTAGATATGTGGCATTATTCCTGAGGGCTCTGTTCTGTTCCATTGATCTATATCTCTGTTTTGGTACCAGTACCATGCTGTTTTGGTTACTGTAGCCTTGTAGTATAGTTTGAAGTCAGGTAGTGTGATGCCTCCAGCTTTGTTCTTTTGGCTTAGGATTGACTTGGCGATGTGGGCTCTTTTTTGATTCCACACGAATTTTAAAATAGTTTTTTTCCAATTCTGTGAAGAAATTGATTGATAGCTTGATGGGGATGGCATTGAATCTGTAAATTACCTTTGGCAGTATGGCCATTTTAACGATATTGATTCTTCCTACCGATGAGCATGGAATGTTCTTCCATTTGTTTGTATCCTCTTTTATTTCCTTGAGCAGTGGTTTGTAGTTCTCCTTGAAGAGGTCCTTCACCTCCCTTGTAAGTTGGATTCCTATGTATTTTATTCTCTTTGAAGCAATTGTGAATGGGAGTTCACTCATGATTTCGCTCTCTGTTTGTCTGTTATTGGTGTATAAGAATGCTTGTGATTTTTGTACATTGATTTTGTATCCTGAGAATTTGCTGAAGTTGCTTATCAGCTTAAGGAGATTTTGGGCTGAGACAATGGGGTTTTCTAGATATACAATCATGTCGTCTGCAAACAGGGACAATTTGACCTCCTATTTTCCTAATTGAATACCATTTATTTCCTTCTCCTGTATAATTGCCCTGGCCAGAACTTCCAACACTATGTTGCATAAGAGTGGTGAGAGAGGGCATCCCTGTCTTGTGCCAGTTTTCAAAGGGAATCCTTTCAGTTTTTGCCCATTCAATATCGTATTCGCTGTGGGTTTGTTATAGATAGTTCTTACTATTTTGAAATATGTCCTCATAGCCCTGCAAATATCCACTTGCAGATTCTACAAAAAGAGTGTTTCAAAACTGCTCAATCAAAACGAAGGTTCAACTCCATGAGATGAATGCACACATCAAAAAGCAGTTTCTCAGAATGCTTCTGTGTAGTTTTCTGAGAACATATTTCCCTTTCCACAATAGGCTGCACAGGGCTTCAAATATCCACTTCCAGATTCTATAAAAAGAGTGTTTCATAATTGCCCAATCAAAAGAAAGTTTCAACTCTGTGAGATGAATTCACACATCAGAAAATAGTTTCTCAGAATGCTTCTGTGTAGTTTTTATGTGAAGATATTTCCTTTTCCACCATAGCCTGCAAAGGGCTCCAAATATCCACCTACAGATGCTACAAAAAGAGAGTTTCAAAACTTCTCCATCAAAAGAAAGATTCAACTCTGTGAGTTGAATGCACACATCACAAAGAAGTTTCTCAGAATGCTTCTTTGTAGTTTTTATATGGAGATATTTCCTTTTCCATGATTGGCCTCAAAGTGCTCCAAATATCCACTTGCAGATGCTACAAAAGAGTGTTTCAAAACAGCTCAATCAAAACAAAAGTTCAACTCTGTGAGATGAATGCATACATCAAAAAGAAGTTTCTCAGAATGCTTCTGTGTAGTTTTTATGCAAAGATATTTCCTTTTCCACAATAGGCCTCAAAGCACTTCAAATATCTACTTGCAGATTCTTCAAAAAGAGTGTTTCAAAACGGCTCAATCAAAAGAAATGTTCAATTCTGTGAGATGAATGCACACGTCACACAGAAGTTTCTCAGAATGCTTCCGTGTAGTTTTTATTTGAAGATATTTCCTTTACAAAAATAGGCCACAAAGGGATCCAAATATCCACTTGCAGATTCTACAAAAAGAGAGATTCAAAACCGTGCAATCAAAAGATAGATTCAACTCTGTGAGTCAAATTGACACATCACAAAGAAGTTTCTCAGAATGCTTCTGTGTAGTTTTTATGTGAAGATATTCCCTTTTCCAACATAGATCTCAAAGCGCTCTAAGTATCCGCTTACAGATTCTACAAAAAGAGTGTTTCAAAACTGCTCTATCAAAAGAAAGGTTGAACACTGTGAGATGAATGCACACATCACAAGGAAGTTTCTCAGAATGCTTCTGTGTAGTTTTTATATGAAGATACTTCCTTTTCCACCACAGGCCTCAAATCGCTTCAAACATTCACTTGCAGATTCTATTAAAAAAGTTTCAAAAGTGCTCAATCGAAAGAAAGTTTCAACTCTGTGACATGAGTGTACACATCACAAAGATATTTCTCAGAATTCTTCTGTGTAGTTTTACTCTGAAGATATTTCTTTTTCCAAAATAGGCTGCAAAGGGCTCCAAATATCCAAATGAACATTCTACAAAAAGAGAGATTCGAAACTGCTCAATCAACAGAAATATTCAACTCTGTGAGATGAATGGCCACATCCCAAAGAAGTTTCTCAGAATGCTTCTGTGTAGTTTTTATGTGAAGATATTCCCGTTTCCACCATAGGCCTCAAAGTGCTGCAAATATCCACTTGCAGATTCTACAAAAAGTGTGTTTCCAAACTGCTCAATCAAAAGAAAGGTTCAACTCTGTGAGATGAATGAACATATCACAAAGATGTTTCTCAGAATGCTTCTATATACTTTTTTTTTGTGAAGGTATTTCCTATTCCACAGTAGTCCTCTAAGCTCTCCAAATATCCACTTGCAGATTCTAAAAAGAGAGTGTTTCAAGACTGCTCAATCAAAAGAAAGGTTCAACTCTGCTAGGTGAATGGACACAACACAAAGAAGTTTCTGAGAATCCTTCTGTGGACTTTTACTGTGAAGATATTTCCTTTTCCACCATACGCCACGAAGGGCTGAAAATATGCACTTGCAGATTCTACAAAAAGAGTGTTTCAAAACTCATCTATCAAAAGATATGTTCAGGTGTGTGGGTGGAATGAACGCATCACAAAGAACTTTCTCAGAATGCTTCTGTCTAGATTTTGTGAAGATATTTCCTTTTCAACAGTAGGCCTCAAAGCGTGCTAAGTATCCACTTGCAGATTCTACAAAAAGATAGATTAAAAAGTGCTCAATCCAAAGATAGGTTCAATTCTGCAAGATGAATGCACACATCACAAAGAAGTTTCTCAGAATGCTTCTGTATATTGTTTATGTGAAGATATTTCCTTTTCCAAAGTAGGCCTCAAAGCGCTCCAAATATCCACTTGCAGATTCTACAAAAAGAGTGTTTCAAAACTGCTCAATCAAAACGAAGGTTCAACACTGTGAGATGAATGCACACATCACAAAGAAGTTTCTCAGAATGCTTCTGTGTAGTTTTTATGTGAAGATATTCCCTTTTCCACCATAAGCCTCAAAGGGCTCCAAATATACACTTGCAGATTCTACACAAAGAAAGTTTCAAAACTGCTCTATCAAAAGGTAAATTCAGTTCTGTGAGTTCAATGCACATATCGCAAAGAAGTTTCTCAGAGTGCTTCGGTGTAGTTTTTATTTGAAGATATTTCCTTTTCTAAAATAGGCCACAAAGGGCTTCAAATAACCACTTGGAGATACTAAAAAAAGAGAGATTCAAAACTGCTAAATCAAACGATAGGTTCAACTATCGGAGTTGAATGCGCACATCACAAAGAAGTTTCTCAGAATGCTTCTGTGTAGTTTGTATGTGAAGATATTTCTTTTTCCACTATAGGGCTCAAAGCACTCCAAATATCCACTTGCAGATTCTACAGAAAGAGTGTTTCCAAACTTCTCAATAAAAAGAAATGTTCAAATCTGTGAGATGAATGCACACATCACAAAGAAGTTTCTCAGAATGCTTCTGTATTTATTATTATTATTATTATATCTTAAGTTTTAGGGTACATGTGCACAATGTGCAGGTTAGTTACATATGTATACATGTGCCATGCTGGTGTGCTGCACCCATAAACTCGTCATTTAGCATGATATATGTCTCCTAAAGCTATCTCTACCCCCTCCCCCCACCCCACAACAGTCCCTAGAGTGTGATGTTCCCCTTCCTGTGTCCATGTGTTCTCATTGTTCAATTCCCACCTAAGAGTGAGAATATGCAGTGTTTGGTTTTTTGTTCTTGCGATAGTTTACTGAGAATGATGATTTCCAATTTCATCCATGTCCCTACAAAGGACATGAACTCATCATTTTTTATGGCTGCTTATTATTCCATGGTGTGTATGTGCCGCATTTTCTTAATCCAGTCTATTATTTTTGGACATTTGAATTGGTTCCAAGTCTTTGCTATTGTGAATAGTGCCGCAATAAACATACGTGTGCATGTGTCTTTATAGCAGCATGATTTATAGTCCTTTGGGTATATACCCAGTAATGGGATGGCTGGATCAAATGGTATTTGTAATTTTAGATCCCTGAGGAATTGCCACACTGACTTCCACAATGGTTGAGCTAGTTTATAGTCCCACCAACAGTGTAAATGTGTTCCTGTTTCTCCACATGCTCTCCAGCACCTGTTGTTTCCTGACTTTTTAATGATTGCCATTTTAACTGGTGTGAGATGGTATCTCATTGCAGTTTTGATTTGCATTACTCTGATGGCCAGTGATGGTGAGCATTTTTTCATGTGTTTTTTGGCTGCATAAATGTCTTCTTTTGAGAAGTGTCTGTTCATGTCCTTCACCCACTTTTTGATGGGGTTGTTTGTTTTTTTCCTGTAAATTTGTTTGAG
>NT_187420.1:163945-175742 GCF_000001405.40 Homo sapiens | reverse complement strand
GATGGTGAGCATTTTTTCATGTGTTTTTTGGCTGCATAAATGTCTTCTTTTGAGAAGTGTCTGTTCATGTCCTTCACCCACTTTTTGATGGGGTTGTTTGTTTTTTTCCTGTAAATTTGTTTGAGTTTATTGTAGATTCTGGATATTAGCCCTCTGTCAGATGAGTAGGTTGTGAAAATTTTCTCCCATTTTGTAGGCTGCCTGTTCACCCTGAAGGTAGTTTCTTTTGCTGTGCAGAAGCTCTGGTTTAATTAGATCCCATATGTCAATTTTGGCTTTTGTTTCCTTTGCTTTTGGTGTTTTAGACATGAAGTCTTTTCCTATGGTTATGTCCTGAATGGTAAAGCCTAGGTTTTCTTCCAGGGTTTTCATGGTTTTAGGTCTAACGTTTAAGTCTTTAATCTATCTTGAATTAATTTTTGTATAAGCTGTAAGAAAGGGATCCAGTTTCAGCTTTCTACATGTGTCTAACCATTTTTCCCAGTACCATTTATTAAATAGGAAATCCTGCCCCCATTGCCTGTTTTTTCTCAGGTTTGTAGAAGATCAGATAGTTGTAGACACGTGGCATTATTTCTGAGGGCTCTGTTCTGTTCCATTGACTATATCTCTGTTTTGGTAGCAGTACCATGCTTCTGTATAGTTTTTATGTGAAGTTAATACCTTTTCCAACTTAGGCTGAGAACGGCTCCAAATATCCACTTGCAGATGCTACAAAGAGAGAGTTTCAAAACTGCTCTATCAAAATATAGGTTCAACTCTATGACTTGAATGCACACATCACAAAGAAGTTTCTCAGAATGCTTCTCTGTACTTTTTATGTGAAGATATTTCCTTTACAACAATAGGCCTAAAAGTGTTCCAAATATCCACTTGCAGATTCTACAAAAAGAGTGTTTCCAAACTGCTCAATCAAAAGAGAGGTTGAACTCTGTGAGATGAATGCACATATCACTAAGAAGTTTCTCAGAATGCTTATGTGTAGTTTTTCTGTGAAGATATTCCTTTTTCCACAATAGGCTTCAAAGGGCTCCAAATATCCACTTGGAGATTCTACAAAAAGAGAGTTTCAAAGCTGCTCTATCAAAAGATAGTTTCAACTCTGTGAGTTGAACGCACACATCACAAAGTAGATTCTCAGAATGCTTCTTGGTAGTTTTTATGTGAAGATATTTCCTTTTCCACAATACGCCTCAAAGTGCTCCAAATATCCACTTGCAGATTCTACAAGAAGAGTGTTTCCAAACTGGTCAATGCAAAGAAAGGTTCAACTCTGTGACAGGAATGCACACATCACAAAGAAGTTTCTTAGAAAGTTTCTGTGTAGTTTTTATGTGAAGATATTTCCTTTTCAACAATAAGCCTAAAAGCACTCCAAATATCCACTTGCAGATTCTGCAAACAGTGTTTCCAAACTGCTCAATCAAAAGAGAGGTTGAACTCTGTGAGATAAATGTAAACATCACTAAAAAGTTTCTCAGAATGCTTCTGTGTAGTTTTTCTGTGTAGATATTCCTTTTTCCACCACAGGTTTCAAAGGGCTCCAAATATCCACTTGCAGATTCTAGAAAAAGAGAATTTCAAAGCTGCTCTGTCAAAAGGTAGGTTCAACTATGTGATTTAAATGCACACATCACAAAGTAGATTCTCAGAATGCTTCTGGGTAGTTTTTATGTGAAGGTATTTCCTTTTCCACCATACGCCTCAAAGCGCTCCAAATATCCACTTGCAGATTCTTCAAAAGGAGTGTTTCCAAACTGTTCAATCAAAAGAAGGGTTCAACTCTGAGATAAATGCACAGATCACAAAGAATTTTCTGAGAGTGCTTCTGTGTAGATTTTATGTGAAGATATTTCCTTTCCACAATAGACCACAAAGCGCTCCAAATATGCACTTACATTTAATACAAAAAGACTGTTTCAAAACAGCTCAATCAAAAGAAAGGTTCAACTCCGTGAGATGAATGCACACATCACAAAGAAGGTTCTCGGAATAATTCTGTGTAGTTTTTATGGAAAGATATTTCCTTTTCCACCATCGGCCACAAAGGGCTCAAATTTCCACTTGTAGAGTCTACAAAAAGAGAGTTTCAAAACTGCTCATTCAAAAGATAGGTTCAACTCTGTAAGTTGAATGCACACATCACAAAGTGGTTTCTCAGAAGGCTTCTGTGTAGTTTTTATGTGAAGATATTTCGTTTTCCGCAATAGGCCTGAAAGCACTCCAAATATCCACTTGCAGATTCCACAAAAAGTGTGTTTCCAAAGTGCTCAATCAAAATAATGGTTCAACTCTGTGAGATGAAACCACACATCGCAAAGAAGTTTCTCCGAGTGTTTCTGTGTAGTTTCTATGGGAAAATATTTCCTTTTCTACCATCTGCCTCAAAGGGACCCAAATATCCACTGGCAAATTCTACAAAAAGAGTGTTTTGAAACTGCTAAATCAAAGGAACGGTTCAACTCTGTGAGATGAATGCACACATCACAAAGAAGTCTCTCAGAATGCTTCTGTGTAGTTTTATATGTAGATATTTACTTTTTCACAATAGGCCTCAAAGGTCTTCAAATATCCAGTTGCAGATTCTACAAAAAGAGAGTTTGCAAACTGCTGAATCAAAACAAAAGTTCAACTCTGTGCAATGAATGCACTCATCACAACGAAGTTTCTGAGAATGCTTCTGTGTAGTTTTTATGTGAAGATATTTCCTTTTCCACAATAGGTGTCAGAGCACTCCAATTATGCACTTGCAGATTCTACAAAAAGAATGTTTCAAAACTGCTCCATCAAATTGAAGGTTCAACTCTGTGAGACGAATGTACACATCACAAAGTAGTTTCTCAGAATGCTTCTGTATAGCTTTTATGTGAAGATATTTCCTTTTCCACCATAGGCTGCAAAGGGCTCCACATATCCACTTGCAGATTCTACAAAAAGAGGGTTTTAAAACTGGTCTATCAAAAGATAGGTTCAACTCCCTAAGTAGCATGCAAACATCACAAAGAAGTTTCTCAGAATGCTTATGTGTAGTTTTTATGTGAAGATATTTCCTTTTCCATCATAGGCCTCAAAGTGCTGCAAATATCCACTTGCAGATTCTACAAAAAGAGTGTTTCCAAACTGCTCAATCAAAATTAAGATTCAGCTCTGTGAGATGAAAGCACACATCACAAATAAGTTTCTCGAAATGCTTCTGTGTAATTTCTTTGGGAAGATGTTTCCTTTTCCACCATCTGCCACAAAGGGTTCCAAATATCCAATTGCAGATTCTAAAAAACGGGAGCTTCAAAACAGTTCTATAGAAACATAGGTTGAACTCAGTGCGTTGAATACGCACTTCACAAAGAAGTTTCTCTGAATGCTTCTGTGTAGTTTCCATGTAAAGATATTTCCTTTGCCACCATAGGCCTCAAAGCACTCCAAATATCCACTTGCTGATTCTAAAAAGAGAGTGTTTCGAAACTGCTCAATCAAAAGAAAGGTTCAACTCTGTGAGATAAATCCGCACATCACAAAGAATTTTCTCAGAATGCTTCTGTAGTTTTTATGTGAAGATATTTCCTTTTCCACCATAGATCACAAAGCACTCAAAATATCCACTTGCAGATTCTACAAAAATGGTGTTTCCAAACCGCTCAATGAAAAGAAAGGTTCAACTCTGTGAGATGAAACCACACATCACAAAAAAGTTTCTGAAAATGCTTCTGTGTAGTTTTTATGTGAAGATATTTCCTTTTCCAAAAGAGTCCTCAAAGCCCTCCAAATATCCACTTCCAGATTCTACAAAAAGATTTTTCAAAACTACTCAATCAAAAGAAAGTGTCAACACTGTGTGATGAATGCACTCAACACAAAGAAGTTTCCCAGAATGCTTCTGTATAGTTTTTATTTGAAGATATTTCCTTTTCTACCATATGGCACAAAGGACTCCAAATATCCAGTTGCAGATTCTACAAAAAGAGAGATTCAAAACTGCTGAATCCAAAGATAGTTTCAACTCTGTGAGTTGAATGCACACATAACAAAGGAGTTTCTCAGAATGCTTCTGTGTAGTTTTTAGGTGAAGATATTTGATTTTTCACAGTACGCCTCAGAGAGCTCCAAATATCCACTTGCAGATTCTGAAAAAAGAGAGATTCAAAACTGTTCAATCAAAAGATAGGTAAAACTCTGTGTGTTGATTGCACACATCACCAGGAAGTTTCTCTGAATACTTCTGTGTAGTTTTTATGTGAAGATATTTTCTTTTCCAAAATATGCCTCAAAGCCCTCCAAATATCCACTTCCAAATTCTACCGAAAGAGTGTTTCAAAACTTCTCAATCAATAGAAAGTTCAACTCTCTGTGATGAATACACTCATCACAAAGAAGTTTCTCTGCATGCTTCTGAGTAGTTTTATTTGAAGATATTTCCTTTTCCTCCATAAGGCACTAAGGGCTCCAAATATCCACTTGCAGATTCTAACAAAAGACAAATTCAAAACTGCTCAATCAAAATATAGGTTCAACTCTGTGAGTTGAATGCACATATCACAAAGAAGTTTCTCAGAATGCTTCTGTGTAGTTTTTATGTTGAGATATTTCCTTTTCCACAATAGACCTCAAATCTCTCCAAACATCCACTTGCAGATTCTGCAAAAAGAGAGATTCAAGACTGCTCAATGAAAAGATAGCCTCGACTCTGTCATTTGAATGCACACCTCACATAGTAGTTTCTCAGAATGCTTCTGTGTAGTTTTTTTTTTTTTTTTTTTTTTTTGAGACGGAGTCTCGCTGTGTCTCCCAGGTTGGAGTGCAGTGGCGCGATCTCGGCTCACTGCAAGCTCCGCCTCCCAGGTTCATGCCATTCTCCTGCCTCAGCCTCCCAAGTAGCTGGGACTACAGGCACCCGCCAACACGCCCGGCTAATTTTTTGTATTTTTAGTAGAAACGGGGTTTCACCGTGTTAGCCAAGATGGTCTCGATCTCCTGACCTCGTGATCCGCCCGTCTCGGCCTCCCAAAGTGCTAGGATTACAGGCGTGAGCCACCGCGCCCGGCCTTCTGTGTAGTTTTTATGTGAAGATATTTGCTTTTCCAAAGTAGGCCTCAAAGGGCTCAAAATATCCCCTTGCAGATTCTGCAAAAAGAGAGATTCGAAACTGCTCAATCAAAAGATAGGTTCACCTCTGTGTGATGAATGCACTCATCACAAAGAAGTTTCCCAGAATGCTTCTGTGTAGTTTTTATGTGAAGATATATCCTTTTCCACCCTAGGGCACATAGGGCTCCAGATATCCACTTGCAGATTCTACCAAAAGCGAGATTCAAAACTGCTGAGTCAAAAGATAGGTTCAATTATGTGAGTTGAATGCACACATAACAAAGAAGTTTCGCAGAATGCTTCTGTGTAGTATTTATGTGAAGATATTTCCTTTTGCACAATAAGACTCAAGTCTCTCCTAATATCCACTTGCAGATTCTACAAAAAGAGTGTTTCCAAACTGCTCAATCAAAAGAAAGCTTAAACTCTGTGAGTTGAATGCACACATCACAAAGAAGTTTCTCAGAATGCTTCTGTGTAGTTTTTATATGAAGATAATTGCTTTTCCTCAGTAGGCATCAAAGCACTCAAAACATCCAATTGCAGATTCTACAAAAACAGTTTCAAAACTGCTCAATCAACAGAAGGGATCAACTCTGTGAGATGAGTGCACACATCATGAAGAAGTTTCTCATATTTCCTTTTCCACAATAGGCCTCAAAGCATTCCAAATATCCACTTGCAGATTCTTCAAAGGAGTGTTTCAAAACTTCTCAATCATAAGATAGGTTCAACCCTGTGAGATGAATGCACACATCACAAAAAGTTTTTCAGAATGCTTCTGTGTAGTTTTTACATGAAGACATTTCCTTTTCCATAATTGAACTGAAATCGCTCCAAATATCCTCTTGCAGATCCTACAAAAAGAGTGTTTCAAAACTGCTCAATCAAAGGAAAGGTTCAACTCTGTGAGGTGAATGCACACATCACAAAAAAGTTTTTCAGAATGCTTCTGTATAGTTTTTAGGTGGAAATATCTGCTTTTCCACAGTAGGCCTCAAAGGGCTCCATGTGTCCACTTGCAAATTAAACAAAAAGAGTTTTTCAAAACTGCTCAATCATAATATAGGTTCAACCATGTGAGATGAATGCACACATGACAAAGAAGTTCCTCAAAATGCTTTTCTGTAGTTTTCATTTGAACATATTTCTTTTTCCACCATAGGCCAGAGAGGGCTCCAAATATCCACTTGCAGATTCTACAAAAAGAGAGATTCAAAACTGCTCAATCAAAAGATAGGTTCAACTCTGTGAGTTGAATGCACACATCACAAAGAAGCTTCTCAGAATGCTTCTGTGTAGTTTTTATTTGAAGATATTTCCTTTTCCACAATAGGCCTCAAATCGCTTCAAATATCCAATTGCAGATTGTACAAAAAGAGTGTTTCGAAACTACTAAATCAAAAGAAAGTTTCAACTCTATGAGGTGAATGCACACATAGCAAATAAGTCTCTCAGAATGCTTCTGTGCTGTTTTCATGTGAAGATATTTGCTTTTCCACAGTAGACCTCCAAGCGCTCCAAATATCCTCTTGCAGATTCTACAAAAAGAAAGATTCAAAACTGCTCACTCAAAAGATACGTTCAACTCTGTGAGATGAATGCACACATCACAAAGAAGTTTCTCAGAATGCTTCTGTGTAGTTTTTATTTGAATATATTTCCTTTTCCACCATAGGCAGCATAGGGCTCCAAATATCCACCTGCCGATTCTACAAAAAGGGAGTTTCAAAACTGCTCAATCAAAAGATCAGTTCAACCCTGTGAGTTGAATGCACACATCACAAAGAAGTTTCTCAGAATGCTTCTGTGTATTTTTTATGTGAAGATATTTCCTTTTCCACAATAGGCCTCAAATCGCTTCAAATATCCAATTGCAGATTGTACAAAAAGAGTGTTTCGAAACTACTAAATCAAAAGAAAGTTTCAACTCTATGAGGTGAATGCACACGTAGCAAATAAGTCTCTCAGAATGCTTCTGTGCTGTTTTCATGTGAAGATATTTGCTTTTCCACAGTAGACCTCCAAGCGCTCCAAATATCCTCTTGCAGATTCTACAAAAAGAAAGATTCAAAACTGCTCACTCAAAAGATACGTTCAACTCTGTGAGATGAATGCACACATCCCAAAGAAGTTTCTCAGAATGCTTCTGTGTAGTTTTTATTTGAATATATTTCCTTTTCCACCATAGGCAGCATAGGGCTCCAAATATCCACCTGCCGATTCTACAAAAAGGGAGTTTCAAAACTGCTCAATCAAAAGATCAGTTCAACCCTGTGAGTTGAATGCACACATCACAAAGAAGTTTCTCAGAATGCTTCTGTGTATTTTTTATGTGAAGATATTTCCTTTTCCACAATAGGCCTCAAAGCTCTCCAAAGGTCCACTTGCAGATTCTGCAAAAAAAGAGATTCAAAACTGCTCAATCAAAGTATAGGTTTGGCTGTGTGAGTTGAATGCACACCTCACAAATAATTTTCTCAGAATGCATCTGCATAGTTTTTATTTGAAGATACGTGCTTTTGCACTGTAGGCCTCAAACCGCTACAGATATCCACTTTCAGATCTGCAAAATGAGAGATTCAGAACTGCTGAATCAAAAGAAACGTTCAACTGTTTCTGATGAATGCACTCATCACAAAGAAGTTTCTTTGAATGCTTCTGTGTAGTTTTTATTTGAAGATATTTTCTTTTCAATCATAGGACAAAAAGGGCTACAAGTATCTACTTGCAGATTATACAAAAAAAGAGATTGAAAACTGCTCAGTCATAAGATAGGTTCAACCCTGTGTGATGAATGCACACAACACAAAGAAGTTTTTCAGAATGCTTCTGTGTAGTTTTTAGGTGAAGATACTTCCTTTTCCACAATAGGCCTCAAATCGCTCCAAATATCCACTTGTAGATTCTAGAAAAAGTGTGTTTCAAAACTGCTCAATCAAAAGAAAGGTTCAACTCTGTGAGTTGAATGCCCACATCACAGAGAGGTTTCTCAGAATGCTTCTGTGAAGTTTTTATATGAAGATATTTGATTTTCCACAGTTGGCCTCACAGTGCTCCAAATATCCACTTTCAGATTCTGCAAAATGAGAGATTCAAAACTGCTCAATAAAAAGAAACGTTCAACTCTGTGTGATGAATGCACTCATCACAAACAAGTTTCTCTGAATGCTTCTGTGTTGTTTGAATTTGAAGATATTTCCTTTTCCACCATAGGGCGCAAATGGCTCCAAATATCCACTTGCAGATTCTACAGAAAGAGATTCAAAACTGCTCAATGAAAAGATAAGTTCAACTCTGTGAGTTGTATGCACATATCACAAAGAAGTTTCTCAGAATGCTTCTGTGTAGTTTTTAAGTGAAGACATTTTCTTTTCCACCATAGGCCACAAAGGGCTCCAATTACCACTTACAAAAAGAGTCTTTCAAAGCTGCTCAATCAAAAGAAAGGTTCAACTCTGTGAGATGAATGCACACATTACAAACAAGTTTCTCAGAATGCTACTGGGTAGTTTTATATGAATATATTTGCTTTTCCACGGTAGGCCTCAAAGCGCTCCAAATATTCATTTTCAGATTCTACAAAAAGAGTGTTTCAAAACTGCTCAATCATAAGGTAGGTTTAACCCTGTGTGATGAATGCACATATCACAAAGATGTTTCTCAGAATGCTTCTGTGTAGTTTTTATGTGGAGATATTTCCTTATCCACAATAGGCCGCAACGGGCTCCAAATATCCACTTGCAGATTCTACAAAAGCAGAGATTCAAAACTGCTCAATCAAAAGATAGGTTCCAGTCTGTGAGTTAAATGCACACATCACTAAGAAGTTTCCCAGAATGCTTCTGTGTATTTTTTATTGGAAGATATATCCTTTTCCACCACAAGCTTCAAACTCTCCAAATATCCACTTGCAGATTCTGCAAAAAGACTGTTTCAAAACTGCTAAATAAAAAGAAATGTTCAACTCTGTGTGATCAACGCACTCATCACAAATTACTTTCTCTGAGTGCTTCTGTGTAGTTTTTATTTGAAGATATTTCCTTTTTCACCACAGGGCGCAAAGGGCTCCAAATATCCACTTGCAGATTCTACAAAAAGAGAGATTCAAAACTGCTCAATAGAAAGATAGGTTCAACTCTGTGAGTTGAATGTACACATCACAAAGAAGTTTCTCAGAATGCTTTTGTGTAGTTTTTATGTGAAGATATTTCCTATACCACAATAGGTCTCAAATCACTCCAAATATTCACTTGCTGATTCTACAAAAAGAGTGTTTCAAGACTTCTCAATCAAAAGAAAGGTTCACCCTTGTGAGATGAAGGCACACATCACAAAGAAGTTTCTCAGAATGCTTCTGTGTATTTTTTATGGGAAGATATTTGCTTTTCCAAGGTAGGCTTCAAAGCACTCCAAATATCCACGTGCAGATTCTACAAAAAGAGTGTTTCAAAACTGCTCTATCAAAAGAAAGGTTCAACTCTGTGAGATGAATGCAAACAAAACAAAGAAGTTTCTGAGAATTCTTCTGTGTAGTTATATGAAGATATATCCTTTTCCACAATAGGCCTCAAAGCGTTCCACATATCCACTTGCAGATTCTACAAAAAGAGTGTTTCAAACTGCTCAATCCAATGAAAGGTTCAACTCTGTGAGATAAATGCACACATAACAAAGAAGTTTCTCAGAATTCTTCTGTGTAGTTTTTATGGGAAGATATTACCCTTACCACCATCGGCCACAAAGAGCTCCAAATAACCACTTGCAGCTTGTACAAAAAGAGAGTTTCAAAACTGCTCCCAAGAGATAGGTTCAAATCTGCGAGTTGAATGCACACATCACAGAGAAGTTTCTCAGAATGCTTCTGTGTAGTTTTTATTTGAAGATATTTCCTTTTCCACTATAGGCTGCAAAGGGCTCCAGATATCCACTTTCAGATTCTACAAAAGGAGAGTCTTAAAACTGCCCTATCAAAAGAATGGTAAAACTCTATGAGATGAAGGCACACATTACAAAGAAGTTTCTCAGAATGCTTCTGTGTAGTTTTTATGTAAAGATTTTTCCTTTTCCACTATAGGCCTCAAAACATTCCAAATATCCACTTGCAGATTCTACAAAAAGTGTGTTTCAAAACTGCTCTATCAAAAGAAAGTTTCAACTCTGTGAGATGAATGCACACATCAGAAAGAATTTTCTCAGAATGCTTCTGTCTAGTTTTTATGTGAAGATATTTCCTTTTCCACCATAGGCCTGAAAGGGCTCCAAATATCCACTTGCAGATTCTACAAAAGAAGAGTTTAAAAACTGCTCTATCAAATGAAGGGTTCAGCTCTGTGAGATGAATGCACACATCACAAAATAGTTTCTCAGAATGCTTCTGTGTAGTTTTTATGGGAAGATATTTCCTTTTCCACCTTCGGCCACAAAGGTCTCCAAATAAACACTTGCAGATTCAACAAAAAGAGTGTTTCAAAACCTCTCTATCAAAAGATAGATTCAACTCAGTGAGTTGAAAGCACACATTCACAATGAAGTTTCTCAGAATGCTTCTCTGTAGGTTTTATGTGATGATTTTTCCTTTTCCACCATAGGCCCCAAATCACTTCAAATATCCACTTGCAGATTCTACAAAAAGAGAGTTTCAAAACTGCTCTATAAAAAGATTGGTTCAGCCTGTTGAGATGAAGGCACACATCACAAAGAAGTTTCTCAGAATGCTTCTGTATGCTTTTTATGTGAAGACGTTTCCTTTCCCTCCATAGGTCTCAAAGCCCTCCAAATATCTAATTGCAGATTCTACAAAAAGAATGTTTCCAAACTGCTGTATCAAAATAAAGACTCAAGTCTGTGAGATGAATGCACACATCAAAAAGAAGTTTCTCAGAACGCTTCTGTGTAGTTTTTATGTGAAGACATTTCCTTTTCCACAATAGGCCTCAAACGGCTCCAAATATCCACTTGCAGATTATACAAAGAGAGTGGTTCCAAACTGCTGAATCAATAGAAACGTTCAACTCTGCGACATGAATGCACACATCCCAAAGAAGTTTCTGAGAATGCTTCTGTGCAGATTTTATGTGAAGGTATTTCATTTTCCAGAACAGGGCTCAAAGTGCTACAAATATCCACTTGCAGATTCTACAAAAAGAGTGTTTCAAAACTACTCAATCAAAGTAAGTTTCAACTCTGTGAGATGAATGCACACATCACAAAGAAGTTTGTCAAAATGCTTCGACGTAGTTTTTATGTGAAGATATTTCCTTTTCCACCTTAGGCCTGAACAATGAAAAGTGCACAATGAAAAGTAAGTTTCAACTCTGTGAGATGAAAGCACACATCACGAAAAAGTTTGTCAGAATGCTTCTGTCTACTTTTTGTTTGAAGATATTTCCTTTTCCACCTTAGGCCTAAAAGTGCTCCAAATGTCCACTTGCAGATTCTACAAAAAGAGAGTTTCAAAGCTGCTCAATGAAAAGAAAGTTTCTACTCTCTGAGATGAATGCACACATCACAAAAAAGTTTGTCAGAATGCATCTGTCTAGTTTTTATGTAAAGATACTTCCTTTTCCACCACAGCCCCCAAAGCGCTCCAAATATCCACTTGCAGATTCTACAGAAAGAGTGTTTGAAAACTGATCAATGAAAAGTAAGGTTCAACTCTGTACTATTAATGCACACATCACAAAGAAGTTTGTCAGAATGCTTTGGTCTAGTT
>NT_187420.1:100294-162952 GCF_000001405.40 Homo sapiens | reverse complement strand
CACATCACAAAGAAGTTTGTCAGAATGCTTTGGTCTAGTTTTTATGTGAAGATATTTCCTTTTCCACCATAGGCCTCAAAGCGCTCCAAATGTCCACTTGCAGATTCTACAAAAAGAGTGTTTCAAAACTGCTCCATGAAAAGAAATGTTCAACACAGTAAGATGGAGGCATATATCGCAAAGAAGTTTGTCAGAGTCCAGTTTTGAAACACCGTTTTTGTAGAATCTGCAAGTGGACATTTGGAGCACTATGAGGCCTATCGCGGAAAAGGAAATGTCTTCACATGAAAACTAGACAGAAGCATTCTGACAAACTTCTTTGTGATGTGTGCATTCATCTCACAGTGCTGAAACTTGCTTTCAATTGAGCAGTTTTGAAACACTCTTTTTGAAGTATCTGCAAGTGGACATTTGGAGCGCTTTGAGGCCCATGGTGGGAAAGGAAATATCTTCACATAAAAACCAGACAGATGCATTCTGACAATTTTCTTTGTGATATGTGCATTTTTCTCACAGAGTTGAACCTTACTTTTCATTGAGCAGTTTTGAACCACTCTTTTTTTAGAATCTGCAATTGGATATTTAGAGCACTTTGAGGCCTATGATGGAAAAGGAAATATCTTCACATAAAAACGAGACAGAAGCATTCTGACAAACTTCTTTTGATATGTGCATTCATCTCACAGAGATGAAACTTTCTTTTGATTGAGCAGCTTTGAAACATTCTTTTTGTAGAATCTACAAGTGGACTATTTGAGCGCTTTGAGGCCTATGGTGGAAATGGAAATATCTTCATATAAAAACTAGACATAAGCATTCAGAAAAAGTTTTCTGTGATGTGTGCATTCACCTCAAAGTGCTGAACCTTACTTTCGATGGAGCAGTTTTGAAACACTCTTTTTGTAGAATTTCCAAGTGGACATTGGAGAGCTTTGAGGCCTATGGGTGGACAACGAAATATCTTCATATAATAACTAGACGGAAGCATTATGAGAAACTTCTTTGTGATGTGTGCATTCATCTCACACAGAGTTGAACCTTTCTTTGGAATGAGCAGCTTTGAAACACTCTTTTTGTAGAATCTGCAAGTGGACATGTGGAGCACTTTGAGGCCTATTGTGGAAAAGGAAATATCTTCATATAAAACTAGGCAGAAGCTTTCTGACAAACTTCTTTGTGATGTGTGCATTCAGCTCACAAAGTTGAACATTTCTTTTCATTGAACAGCTTTGAAACATTCTTTTTGTTGAATCTGCAAGTGGACATTGGGAGCATTTTGAGACCAATGGTGGAAAAGGAAAATCTTCACATGAAAACTAGACAGAAGCATTCTGTTAAACTTCTTTGTGATGTGTGCATTCATCTCACAGAGTGGAACCTTACTTTTCACTGAGCTGTTTTCGAACACTCTTTTTGTGGAATCTGCATACGGACATTTAGTGCTCTTTGAGGCCTATGATGAAAAAGGAAATATCGTCACATAAAAACCGGACAGAAGCATTCTGACACACTTCTTGGGATGGGTGCATTCAGCTCACAGGGTTGAACCTTTCTTTTGATTGAGCAGCTTTGAAACACTTTTTTTTTTTTAGAATCGGCAAGTGGATATTTGGAGCGGTTTGAGGCCTATGGTGGAAAAGGAAATATCTTCACATAAAAACTGGACAGAAGCATTCTCACAAACTGCTTTGTGATGTGTGCATTCATCTCACAAAGTTGAAACTTTCTTTTGATTGAGCAGCTTTGAAACACTCTTTGTAGAGTCTGCAAGTGGACATTTGGAACACTTTGAGGCCTACAGTGGAAAAGGAAATACCTTCACATAAAAATTAGACAGAAGGATTCTGAGAAACTTCTTTGTGATGTGTGCATTCATCTCACAGAGTTGAACCTTTACTTTTCGTTGAGCAGTTTTGAAACACTCTTTTTGTAGAATCTGCAAGTGGACATTTGGAGAGCTTTGAGGCCTGCAGTGTAAAAGGAAATATCTTCACATAAAAACTAGACAGAAGCATTCTGACAAACGTCTTTGTGATGTGTGCTTTCATCTCACAGAGTTGAACATTTCTTTTGATTTAGCAGCTTTGAAACACTCTTTTTGTAGAATCTGCCATTGGACATTTGCGGCACTTCAGGCCAATGGTAGAAAAGGAAATACCTTCACATAGAAAGTAGATAGAGCCAGTCTTACAAACTTCTTTGTGATGTGTGCATTCATCTCACAGTATTGAACCTTTCTTTTGATTGAGCAGCTTTGAAACCCTCTTTTTGTAGAATCTGCAAGTGGACATTTGGAGCGCCTTGTGGACTATTGTAGAATAAGGAATATCTTCACATAAAAACTAGACAGGAGCATTCTGACAAACTTCTTAGTGATGTGTGCATTCATCTTGCAGTATTGAACCTCCCTTTTGATGGAGTAGTTCTGAAACTGTCTTTTTGTAGAATCTGCATGTGGAGATTTTGAGAGCTTTTAGGCCTATGTTGCAAAAGGAAATATCTTCATATACAAACTAGACAGAAGCATTCTGACAACCTTCTTTCTGACATGTGCATTCATCTCACAGAGTTGAACTTTCCTTTTTATGGACCAGTTTTGAAATACTCTTTTTGTAGAATGTGTAAGTGGACATTTAGAGCATCTTGAGGCCTATGGTGGAAAATGAAATATCTTCACATAAAACTAGACAAAAGAATTCTGAGAAACTTCTTTGTGATGTGTGCGTTCATCTCACAGAGTTGAACTTTTCTTTTGATTGAGCAGTTTGCAAACACAATTTTTGTAGATTCTGCAAGTGGACATTTGGAGTGCTTTGTGGCCTATGGTAGAAAAGGAAATATCCTCATATAAAACCTAGACAGAAGCAATGTGAGAAACTTCTTTTTGATTTGTGCATTCATCTCACAGAGTTAAACATTTCTTTTGATTGAGCAGTTTTGAAACACTCCTTTTGTGGAATCTGCAAGTGGACATTTGGAGGGCTTTGAGGCCTATGGTAGAAAAGGAAATATCTTCACATAAAATCTAGACAGAAGCAATCTGAGAAACATCTTTGTGATGTATGCATTCATCTCACAGAGTTAAACCCTTCTTTGATTGAGCAGCTTTGAAAATCTCTTTTTATAGAATCTGCAAGAGGACACTTGGAGTGCTTTGAGGCCTGTGGTGAAAAAGGAAATATCTTCACATAAAAACTAGACAGAAGAATTCTGAGAAACTTCTTTGTGATGTGTGCATTCAACTCACAGAGTAGAACCTTTCTTTTGATTGAGCAGTTTGGAAACACAATTTTTGTAGATTCTGCAAGTGGACATTTGGAGCACTTTGCGGCCTATGGTAGAAAAGGAAATATCTTCACATAAAACCTAGAAAGAAGCAATGTGAGAAACTTCTTTGTGATGTGTGTATTCATCTCACAGAGGTAACCCTTTCTTTCAATAGAGCAGTTTTGAAATGCTCTTTTTGTAGAATCTGCAAGTGGACATTTGGAGCGCATTTAGTCCTGTGGTGGAAAAGAAAATATCTTCACATAAGTACTAGACAGAAGAATTCTGAGAAACTTATTTGTGATGTGTGCATTCATCTCACAGAGCTGAACCTTTCTTTTCATTGAGCAGTTTGGAAACACTCTTTTTGTGGAATCTGCATGTGGTCATTTGGAGCGCTTTGTGGCCTAAGATAGAAAAGGCAATAACTTCACATAAAATCTAGACAGAAGCAATCTGAGAAACTTCTTTGTGATATGTCCATTCATACCACAGAGTTAAAAGTTTCTTTTGATTGAGGAGTTTTGAAACTCCCTTTTTGTAGAATCTGCTAGTGTACATTTGGAGGGCTTTCAGGCCTATTGTGGAAAAGGAAATATCTTCACATAAAAACTAGACAGAAGAATTCTGAGAAACTTCTTTTTGATATGTACGTTCTTCTCACAGAGTTGAATCTTTCTTTGGATGGAGCAGTTTTGAAACTCTCTTTTTGTAGAATCTGCAAGTGGACATTTGGAGCACTTTGAGGCCTATGGTGGAAAAGGAAATATCTTCACTTAAAATCTAGACAGAAGCAATCTGAGAAACTTCTTTTTGATGTGTGCGTTCATCTCACAGACTTAAACCTTTCTTTTGAGAGAGCAGTTTTGAAACCTCTTTTTGTAGAATCTGCAAGTGGACATTTGGAGCACTTTGAGGCCTATGGTGGAAAAAGAAATATCTTCACATAAAAACTAGATGAAAGAATTCTAAGAAACTCCTTCGTGATGTGTACGTTCATCTCACAGAGTTGAAAATTTCTTTTGATTGAGCAGTTTGGAAACACTGTTTTTGTAGAATCTGCAATTGGATATTTGGGGTGCTGTGTGGTCTACGGGAGAATAGTAAATATCCTCACATAAAATCCAGACAGAAGCAATCTGGGAACCTTCTTTGTCATGTGTGCATTCATCTCCCAGAGTTAAACCTTTCTTCTGATTGAGCAGTTTTGAAACTGTCTTTTTGTAGAATCTTCAAGTGAACATTTGGAGCGCATTTAGTCCTGTGGTGGAAAAGAAAATATCTTCACATAAAAACTAGACAGAAGAATTCTGGGAAACTTCTTTTATAAGCGTGCATTCATCTCACAGAGTTGAAGCTTTCTTTTGATTGAGCAGTTTGGAAACACTCTTTTTGTAGTATCTGCAAGTGGACATTTGGAGTGCTTTGCGGCCTACCATAGAAAAGGAAATATCTTCGCATAAAATCTGGAGAGAAGCAATCTGAAAAACTTCTTTGTGATGTGTGCCTTCATCCCACAGAATTAAACCTTTCTTTTGATTGAGTAGTTTTGAAACACACTTTTTGTGGAGTCTGCTAATGGACATTTGGAAGGCTTTGAGGCCTATGGTGGAAAAGGAAATATCTTCACATAAAAAGTAGACAGAAGAATTCTGAGAAACTTCTTTGTTATATGTGCGTTCATTTCACAGAGTTGTACCTTTCTTTTGATTGAGCAGTTTGGAAACACTCTATTTGTAGAATCTGCAAGTGGACATTTGGAGCGCTTTATGGTAGAAAAGGTAATATCTTTACATAAAATCTAGACAAAAGCAAACTGAGAAACTACTTTCTGATGTGTGCATTCATCTCACAGTGTTAAACCTTTCTTTTGATTGAGGAGTTTTGTAGCTCTCTTTTTGTAGAATCTGCAAGTGGACATTTGGAGCGCTTTGGGGCCTATCGTGGAGAAGGAAATATCTTCACATAAAAACTAGACAGAAGAATTTTGAGAACCTTCTTTGTGATGCGTGGGTTCATCTCACAGAGGTCTATGGTAGAAAAGGAAATATCTTCACTTAAAATCTAGACAGAAGCAATTGGAGAAACTTCTTTGTGATTCGTGCATTCATCTCACAGAGTTAAACCTTTCTTTTGATTGAGCAGTTTTTAAACTCTCTTTTTGTAGAATGTGCAAGTGGACATTTGAGGCGCTTTGTGGCCTATGGTGGAAAAGAAAATATCTTCACATATCTAGACAGAAGCAATCTGAGAAACTTCTTTGTAATCTGTGCATTCTTCTCACAGAGTTAAGCCTTTCTTTTGATTGAGGAGTTTTGTAACTCTCTTTTTGTAGAATGTGCAAGTGGACATTTGTGCCACTTTGAGGCCTATGGTGGAAAAGGAAATATCTCCACATAAAAACTAGACAGAAGAATTCTGAGAAACTTCTATCCAATGTGTGCATTCATCTCACAGAGTTGAACATTTCTTTTGATAGAGCAGTTTTGAAACACTCTTTTTGTAGAATCTGCAAGTGGATATTTGGAGCCCTCTGAGTCCTATTGTGGAAAAGGAAATATCTTCACATAAAAGCTAGAGAGAAGCATTCTTAGAAACTACTTTGTGATGTATCCATTCATCTCATGGAGTTGAAACTTTCTTTTGATTGAGCAGTTTGGTAACAGTATTTTTGTAGCATCTGCAAAGGTATAATTGTGATTCCTTTATGGCCTATGGTTAAATAGTAAATATCTTCACATAAAAACTAAACAGTAGCTTTCTGAGAAACTTCTCTGTGGTGTGTGATTTCATCTCACAGAGTTGAACAATTCCTTCAATTGAGAAGGTTGGAAATAGCCTTTTGTACAACCTGCAAATGGATATTTGCTGCTCTTTGAGGCCAATGGTGAAAAAGGAAATATCTTCACATAAAAATTAGACGGAAGCATTCTGAAAAACTTCTTTGTGACGTTTGCATTCATCTCACACAGTTGAACATTTCTTTGATCGGAGATTTGGAAACAGTCTTTTTGTAAACTCTACAAAGGGATAATTGTGAACCCTTTTAGGCCTATGGTGAAGTAGGAAATATCTTCATATAAAAACTACACAGAAACATTCTGAGAAAGTTTTTTGTGATGGGTGCATTCATCTCACAGAGTTGAAGCTTTCTTTTGCTAGAGCAGTTTGGAAACAGTCCTTTGTAGAATCCCCGAAGGGATAATTCTGAGCCTATTGTGGCCTTTAGTGATGTAGGAAATATCTTCACATAAAAGCTAGACAGAAGCTTTCTGAGAAACTTCTTTTAAATGAGTGCTTTCATCTCAAAGAGTTGAGCATTTCTTTTGACTGAGAAGTTTGGAAACACTCTTTTTGCAGAATCTGCAAATGGATAATTGGAGCACATTGAGGCCTATAGTGAAAAAGCAAATATCTTCACATAAAAACTAAACAGAAGCTTTCTGAGAAACTACTTTGTAATGCGTGCATTCATCTCACAGAGTTTAACCTTTCTTTTGATTGAGCAGTTTTGAAACTCTCTTCTTGTGGAATCTGCAAGTGGACACTTGGAGTGCTTTGACTTCTATGGTGGAAAGGGAAATCTCTTCACATAAAAACGAGAGAGAAGCATTCTGAGAAACTTCTTTTTGATGTGTGCATTCACCTCACAGAGCTATATCTTTCTTTTGGTTGAGCAGTTTTGAAACTCTGTTTTTGTAGAGTCTGCAGGTGGACATTTTGAGCGTTTTGAGGTCTATGTTGGAAAAGGAAATATCTTCACATAAAAACTAGACAGAAGCATTCTGAGAAACTTCTTTGTGATGTGTGCATTCATCTCACAGAGTTGAACCTTACTTTTGATTGAGCAGTTTGGAAACACTCTTTTTCTTGAATCTGCAAGTGGACATTTGGCACGCATTGTGAACAATGGCAGAAATGGAAATATCTTCACTTAAAATCTAGACAGAAGCAATCAGAGAAACTTCTTTGTGATGTGTGCATTTATCTCACAGAGTTAAAAGTTTCTTTTGATTAAGCAGTTTTGAAACTGCCTTTTTGTAGAATCTGCAAGTGGATACTTGGAGCGCTTAAAGGCCTATGGTGCAAAAGAAAATATGTTCACATAAAAACAGGACAGAAGTATTCAAAGAAACTTCTTTATGACACGTGCGTTCATCTCACAGAGTTGAATCTTCCTTTTGATTGAGCAGTTTGGAAACACCCTTTTTGTAGAATCTGCAAGTGGACATTTGGAGCGCTTTGCAGCCTATGTTAGAAATGGAAATATCTTCACATAAAATCTACACAGAAGCAATCTGAGAAACTTCTTTGTGATGTGTGCGTTCATCTCACAGAGTTAAACCTTTCTTTTGATTGAACAGATTTGAAACTCCCTTTTTGAGGAATCTGCAAGTGGACATTTGGAGCTCGTTGAGTCCTATGGTGGAAAAGGAAATATCTTCACATAAAAACTAGACAGAAGAATTCTGAGAAACTTCTTTGTGATGTGTGCATTCATCTCACAGAGTTGAACCTTTCTTTTGATTGAGCAGTTTGCGATCACTCTTTTTGTAGAATCTGCAAGTGGATATTCGGAGTGCTTTGTGTCCTATGGTAGAAAAGGGAATATCTTCACATAAAATCTAGACAGAAGAAATCTGTGAAACTTCTTTGTGATGTATGCATTCATCTCACAGAGTTAAACCTTTCTTTTGATTGAGCAGTATTGAAACCCACTTTTTGTAGAATGTGCAAGTGGACAACTGGAGTGCTTTGACATCTTTGGTGGCAAAGGAAATATCTTCACATAAAAACGAGATACAAGCATTCTGAGAAACTACTTTTTGATGTGTGCATTCATCTCCCAGAGTTGAACGTTCTTTTGAAGGACCAGTTTAGAAATACGCTTTCTGTAGAATGTGTCATTGGATATTTTGAGCGCCTTGAGGCCTATGGTGGAAAAGGAAATATCTTCACATAAAAACTAGACAGAATATTTCTTTTTTTATTTTTTTATTATTTATTATTTTTTAATATTATACATTAAGTTTTAGGGTACATGTGCACAATGGGCAGGTTAGTTACATATGTACACATGTGCCATGGTGGTGCGCTGCACCCACTAACTCGTCACCTAGCATTAGGTATATCTCCCAATGCTATCCCTCCCCACTCACCCCATCCCACAACAGGCCACAGTGTGTGATGTTCCCCTTCCTGTGTCCATGTGTTCTCATTGTTCAATTCCCACCTATGAGTGAGAATATGTGGTGTTTGGTTTTTTCTTCTTGCGATAGTTTACTGAGAATGATTTCCAATTTCATCCATGTCCCTACAAAGGACATGAACTCATCATTTTTTATGGCTGCATAGTATTCCATGGTGTATATGTGTCACATTTTCTTAATCCAGTCTATCATTGTTGGACATTTGGGTTGGTTCCAAGTTTTGCTATTGTGAATAATGCTGCAAAAAACATACGTGTGCATGTGTCTTTATAGCAGCATGATTTATAGTCCTTTGGGTATATACTCAGTAATGGGATGGCTGGGTCAAATAGTATTTCTAGTTCTAGATCCCTGAGGAATTGCCACACTGACTTCCACAATGGTTGAACTAGTTTATAGTCCCATCAACAGTGGAAAAGTGTTCCTATTTCTCCACATCCTCTCCAGCACCTGTTGTTTCCTGACTTTTTAATGATTGCCATTCTAACTGGTGTGAGATGGTATCTCATTGCAGTTTTGATTTGCATTTCTCTGATGGCCAGTGATGGTGAGCATTTTTTCATGTGTTTTTTGGCTGCATAAATGTCTTCTTTTGAGAAGTGTCTGTTCATGTCATTCACCCACTTTTTGATGGGGTTGTTTGTTTTTTTCTTGTAAATTTGTTTGAGTTCATCATAGATTCTGGATATTAGTCCTTTGTCAGATGAGTAGGTTGCGAAAATTTTCTCCCATTTTGTAGGTTGCCTGTTCACTGTGATGGTAGTTTCTTTTTCTGTGCAGAAGCTCTTTAGTTTAATTAGATCCCATTTGTCAATTTTGTCTTTTGTTGCCATTGCTTTTGGTGTTTTAGACATGAAGGCCTTGCCCATGCCTATGTCCTGAATGGCAATGCCTAGGTTTTCTTCTAGGGTTTTTATGGTTTTAGGTCTAACATTTAAGCCTTTAATCTATCTTGAATTGATTTTTGTATAAAGCATAAGGAAGGGATCCAGTTTCAGCTTTCTACATATGGCTAGCCAGTTTTCCCAGCAGCATTTATTAAATAGGGAATCCTTTCCCCATTGCTTGTTTTTCTCAGGTTTGTCAAAGATCAGATAGTTGTAGATATGTGGCATTATTTCTGAGGGGTCTGTTCTGTTCCATTGATCTATATCTCTGTTTTGGTACCAGTACCATGCTGTTTTGGTTACTGTAGCCTTGTAGTATAGTTTGAAGTCGGGTAGTGTGATGCCTCCAGCTTTGTTCTTTTGGCTTAGGATTGACTTGGCGATGCGGGCTCTTTTTTGATTCCACACGAACTTTAAAGTAGTTTTTTCCAATTCTGTGAAGAAAGTTATTGGTAGCTTGATGGAGATGGCATTGAATCTGTAAATTACCTTGGGCAGTATGGCCATTTTAACGATATTGATTCTTCCTACCGATGAGCATGGAATGTTCTTCCATTTTTTGTATCCTCTTTTATTTCCTTGAGCAGTGGTTTGTAGTTCTCCTTGAAGAGGTCCTTCACATCCCTTGTAAGTTGGATTCCTAGGTATTTTATTCTTTTTGAAGCAATTGTGAATGGGAGGTCACTCATGATTTCGCTCTCTGTTTGTCTGTTTTTGGTGTTTAAGAATGCTTGTGATTTTTGTACATTGATTTTGTATCCTGAGACTTTGCTGAAGTTGCTTATCAGTTTAAGGAGATTTTGGGCTGAGACAATCGGGTTTTCTAGATATACAATCATATCGTCTGCAAACAGGGGCAATTTGACTCTCTCTTTTCCTAATTGCATACTGTTTATTTCCTTCTCCTGCCTAATTGCCCTGGCCAGAATTTCCAACCCTATGTTGAATAGGAGTGGTGAGAGAGGGCATCCCTGTCTTGTGCCAGTTTTCAAAGGGAATGCTTCCAGTTTTTGCCCATTCAGTATGATATTGGCTGTGGGTTTGTCATAGATAGCTCTTATTATTTTGAAATACGTCCCATCAATACCTAATTTATTGAGAGCTTTTAGCATGAAGCATTGTTGAATTTTTTCAAAGGCCTTTTCTGCATCTATTGAGATAATCATGTGGTTTTGATCTTTGGTTCTTTTTATATGCTGGATTACATTTATTGATTTGCGTATATTGAACCAGCCTTGCATCCCATGGATGAAGCCCACTTGATCATGGTTGATAAGCTTTTTGATGTGCTGCTGGATTCAGTTTGCCAGTATTTTATTGAGGATTTTTGCATCAATGTTCATCAAGGATAATGGTCTAAAATTCTCTTTTTGGGTTGGAGACAGAATATTTCTGAGAAACGTCTTTGTGGTCTGTACGTTCATCTCACAGAGTTGAAAGTTTCTTTTCATTGAGGAGTTTGAAAACACTCTTTTTGTAGAATATGTAAGTGGACATTTGGAGTGCTTTGCGGCCCATGGTAGAAAAGGAAATATCTTGACATAAAATCTAGAGAGAAGCAATCTGAGAAACTCCTTTGTGATGTGTGCTTTCATCTCCCATAGTTAAACCTTTGTTTTGATTGAGCAATTTTGAAACTCTCTTTTTGTAGAATCTGCAATTGGACATTTCGAGTGACTTGAGGCTTATGGTGGAAAAGGAAATATCTTCACATGAAAACTAGAAAGAAGAATCCTGAGAAACTTCTTTGTGATGTGTGGGTTCATCTCACAGAGGTGAACCTTTCTTTTGATTGAGCAGTTTGGAAACACTCTTTTATACTATCTGCAGTGGACATAATCAGCGCTTTGTGGCTATGCTAGAAAAGGAATTATCTTCACATAAAGTCTAGGCAGAAGCAATCTGAGAAACTTCTTTGTGATGTGTACGCTCATCTCACAGAGTTAAACTTTCTTTTCATTGAGCAGTTTTTGAAAGTTTCTTTGTGTAGAATCTGCAAGTAGACATTTGGAGAGCTCTGAGGCCTACAGTGGAAAACGAAATATCTTAACATAAAAACTACAAGGAAGAATTCTGGGAAACTTCTTTGTGATGCATGCATTAATCTCACAGAGTTGAACATTCCTTTTGATATAGCAGTTTGGAAGGACTCTTTTTCCACAATCTGCAAGTGGATATTTGGAGAGCTTTGCAGCCTATGGTAGAAAAGGAAATATCTTTACATAAAATCTAGAAAGAAGCAAACTGAGAAACTTCTTTGTGATGTGTGCATTCATCTCACAGAGTTAAAACTGTGTTTTGATTGAGCAGTTTTTAAACTTTCTTTTTGTGGAATCTGCAAGTGGACATTTACAGCGCTTTGAGGCCTATGGTGGAAATGGAAATATCTTCACATAAAAACTAGACAGAAGAATTCTGAGAAACTTCTTTGTGATGTGTGGGTTCATTTCACAGAGTTGAATCTTTCATTTGATTGAGCGCTTTGGAAATACTCTTTTTGTACATTCTGCAAGTGGACATTTGGAGCTCTTTGCGGCCTATGGTAGAAAAGACAATATCTTCACATAAAATCTAGACAGAACCAACCTGAGAGACTTCTTTGTGATATGTGCATTCATCTCACAGAGTTAAACCTTTCTTTTGATTGAGGAGTTTTGAAACTGTCTTTTTGTAGCGTCTGCAAGTGGACATTTGGAGCGCTTTGAGGCCTGTGGTGGAAAAGGAAATAACTTCACACAAAAGTTAGAGAGAAGCATTCTGAGAAACTTCTTTCTGACATATGCATTCATCTCCCTGAGTTGAACCTTTCCTTGAAGGACCAGTTTTGAAATACTCTTTTTGTAGAATCTGCAAGTAGACATTTCGAGCACCTTGAGGCTTATTGTGGAAAAGGAAGTATCTTCACATAAAAACTAGACAGAAGAATTCAGAGAAACTTCTTTTTGATGTGTGCATTCATCTCACACAGTTGAAGCTTTCCTTTGATTGAGCAGTTTTGAATTTCTCATTTTGTAGAATGTGCAAGTGGACATTTGTAATGCTTTGAGGACTACGGTCAAAAGGAAATATCTTTAAATAAAAACTAGACAGAAGAATTCTGAGAAACTTCTTTGTGATGTGTGCCTTCATCTCGCAGAGTTGAAATTTTCTTTTGATTGAGCAGTATGGGAACACTTTTTTTGCAAAATCTGCAAGTGGACATTTGGACCGCTTTGCGGCCTATGGTAGAAAAGGAAATATCTTCTGATAAAATCTAGACAGAAACAATCTGAGAAACTTCTTTGTGAAGTGTGTATTCATCTCACAGAGTTAAACCTTTCTTTTGAGAGAGCAGTTTTGAAACCTCTTTTTGTAGAATCTGCAAGTGGACATTTGGGGCACTTTGAGGCCTATGGTGGAAAAAGAAATATCTTCACATAAAAACTAGACGAAAGAATTCTAAGAAACTCCTTCATGATGTGTACGTTCATCTCACAGAGTTGAAAATTTCTTTTGATTGAGCAGTTTGGAAACACTGTTTTTGTAGAATCTGCAATTGGATATTTGGGGTGCTGTGTGGCCTACGGGAGAATAGTAAATATCTTCACATAAAATCCAGACAGAAGCAATATGAGAAACTTCTTTGTGATGTGTGCAATCATCTCACCGAGTTAAACCTGTGTTTTGATTGAGCAGTTTTGAAACTCTCTTTTTGTAGAATCTGCAAGTGGGCAATTGGAGCGCTTTGCGGCCTATGTTAGAAATGGAAATATCGTCACATAAAATCTAGATAGAAGCAAGCAGAGCAACTTCTTTGTTAAGTGTGCATTTATCTCACAGAATTAAACCTTTCTTGTGATTGAGGAGTTTTGAAACTCTCTTTTTGTAGAATCTGTAAGTGGACATTTTGAGTGCTTTGAGGCCTATAGTGGAAAAAGAAATATGTTCACGTAAGAAGTAGACAGAAGAATTCTAAGAAACTTTTAGTGATGTGTGCTTTCAACTCACAGAGTTGAACCTTTCTTTTCAGTGAGCAGTTTGGAAACACTGTTTTTGTAGAATCTGCAAGTGGACATTTGGAGGGATTTGAAGCCTTTGGTAGAAAAGGAAATATATTCTCATAAAACCTAGACAGAAGCAATCTGAGAGACTTCTATTTGAGGTGTGCATCAATCTGACAGAGTTAAACCTTTCCTTTGATTGAGCAGTCTTGAAACTCTCTGTTTGTAGAATCTGTAAGTGGAAATTTGGAGCGCTTTGAGGCCTAATGTGGAAAAGGATATATCTTCACATAAAAACTAGACAGAAGAATTTGGAAAAACTTCTCTGTGATGCTCGCGTTCATCTCACAGAGTTGAACTTTTCTTTTGATTAAGCAGTTTGGAAACACTCTTTTTGTGGAATCTGCAAGTGGACATTTGGAGCGCTTTGACGCCTATGGTGGAAAAGGAAATATCTTCACATAAAAACTAGACAGAAGCATTCTGAGAAACTTCTTTGTTATGTGTGCATTCATCTCCCAGTGTTGGACCTTTCTTTCGATGGGCCAGTTTTGAAATACACCTTTTGTGGCATCTGCAAGTGGACATTTCGAGTGCCTTGAGGCCTATGCTGGAAATGAAAATATCTTCACATAAAAACTAGACAGAAGAATTCTGAAAAACTTCATTGTAATGTGTGCGTTCATCTCACAGATTTAACATTTTCGTTTGATTGAGCAGTTCTGAAACTCTCTTTTTGAAGATTCTGCAAGTGGACATCTGGAGGAATTTGCGGCCTGTGGTAGAAAATGAAATATCTTCACATAAAATCTAGACAGAAATAATCTGAGAAACTTCTTTCTGATGTGTGCATTTATCTAACGGAGTTAAACCTTTCTTTTTATTGAGCAATTTTGAAACTCTCTTTTTGTAGAATCTGCAACTGGATGTTGGGAGCAATTTGAGGCCTATGGTGAAAAAGGAAATATCTTCAAATAAAAGCAAGACAGAAGAATTCAGAGAAACTTCTTCATGATGTTTGCGTTTATCTCACAGAGTTGAACCTTTCTTTTCATGAGCAGTTTTGAAAAACTTTTTGTAGAATCTGCAAGTGGACATTTGCAGCCCTTTGAGGGGTATATTAAAAAAGGTAATATCTTCACATAAACACTAGACAGAAGAATTCTGAGAAACTTCTTTGTGATGGGTGCGTTCATCTCACAGAGTTGAACCTTTCTTTTGATTGAGCAGTTTGGAAACACTCTTTTTGTAGAATATGAAAGTGGACATTTGGAGCGCTTCGCGTCCCTAAGCAGAAAAGGAAATATCTTCACATAAAATCTAGACAGAAGCAATCTGAGAAACTTCTTTGTGATGTGCGTATTCCTCTCACAGAGTTAAACCTTTCTTTTGATAGAGGAGTTTTCAAACTCTCTTTTTGTAGAATCCGCAAGTGGACTTTTGGAGCACTTTGAGGCCTCTGTTGGAAAAGGAAATATCTTCACATAAAAACAAGACAGAAGAATTCTGAGAAAATTCTTTGTGATACGTGCATTCATCTCACAGAGTTGAACCCTTCTTTTGATAGAGCAGAATGGAAACACTCTTTTTGTAGAGTCTGCAAATGGACATTTGGAGCGCTTTTCGGCCAATGGCAGAAAAGGAAATATCTTCACAGAAAATCTAGACCGGAAGTCTGAGAAACTTCTTTGTGATGTGTGCATTTATCTCACAGTGTTAAACCTTTCTTTTGATTGAGCACTTTTGAAACTATTTTGGTAGAATCTGCAAGTGGACATTTGGAGCACTTTGAGGTCTGTTGTGGAAGAGGAAATATCCTCACATAAAAACTAGGCAGAAAAATTCTGAGAAACTTCTTGGTGATGGGTGCATTCATCTCACAGAGATGAACTTTTCTTTTGATGGAGCAGATTGGAAACACTCTTTTTGGAGAATCAGCAAAAGGATATTTGGAGCGCTTTGCAGCCTATGGCAGAAAAGGAAATATCTTCACATAAAATCTAGACAGAAGCAATATTAGAAACTTCTTTGTGATGTGTGCATTCATCTCACGGAGTTAAAACTTTCTTTTGATTGAGCTGTTTTGAAAATCTATTTTTGTAGAATCTGCAAGTCGACATTTGCAGCGCTTTGACGCCTATGGTGGAAAAGGAAATATCTTCACATAAAAACTAGATAGAAGCATTCTGAGAAACTTCTTTCAGATGGGTGCATTCATCTCCCTGAGTTGGACCTTTCTTTTGAAGGACCAGTTTAGAAATACGCTTTTTGTAGAATCTGCAAGTGGACATTTTGAGCGCCTTGAGGCCTATGGTGGAAAAGGAAATATCTTCACATAAAAACTAGACAGAAGAATTCTGAGAGAACTCTTTGTGATGTGTTCATCTCACAGAGTTGAAACTTTCTTTTGATTGAGAAGTTTTAAAACACTCTTTTTGTAGATTCTGCAAGTGAACATTTGTAGTGCTTTACGGCTTATGTTAGAAAAGGAAATATCTTCCCATAAAATCTAGACAGAAACAATCTGAGAAACTTCTTTGTGATGCATGCATTCATTTGGCGGAGTTAAACCTTTCTTTGATTGAGCAGTTTTGAAACTCTCTTTTTGTAGAATTTGAAAGTGGACATTTGGAGTGCTTTGAGGCCAATGGCAGAAAAGGAAATATCTTCACATAAAAAGTAGGCAGAAAAATTATGAGAAACTTCCATGTGATGTATCCATTCATCTCTCAGAGTTGAACCTTTCTTTTGATTGAACAGTTTGGAAACATTGTTTTTGTAGAATATGCAAGTGGACATTTGGAGCCCTTTGCGGCCTATGGCAGAAAAGGAAATATCTTCACATGAAATCTAGACAGAAGTCATCTGAGAAACTTCTTTGTGATGTGTGCATTCATCTCACAGACTTAAAACTTTCTTCTGATTGAGCAGTTTTTAAACTCTCTTTTTGTATAATCTGCACATGGACTTTTGGAGCGGTTAAAGGCTTATGGTGGAAAAGGAAGTATCTTCACGTAAAAACGAGACAGAAGAATTCTGAGAAACTTCTTTGTGATGTGTGTGTTCATCTAACTGAGTTGAACCTTTCTTTTCATTGAGCAGTTTGGAAAAACTCTTTTCTAGAAACTGTAAGTGGACACTTGGAGTGCTTTGGGGCCTGTGGTAGAAAAGGAAATATTTTCACATAAAATCTAGACAAAAACAATCTGAGAAACTTCTTTGTGATGTGTGCATTCATCTCACAGAGTTAAAACTTTCCTTTGATTGTGGTGCTTTGAAACTCTCCTTTTGTAGAATCTGCACGTGGACAAATGGAGCCCTTTGAGGCCTATGGTGGAAAAAGGAACATCTTCACATAAAAACTAGACAGAAGCATTCTAAGAAACTTCTTTATGATGTTTGCATTCAGCTCCCTGAGTTGAAACTTTCTTTTGAAGGACCAGTTATGAAATTCGGATTTCTGGAATCTGCAAGTGGACATTTCGAGCACCTTGAGGCCTATGGTGGAATAGGAAATATCTTCACATAAAATCTAGACAGAAACAATCTGAGAAACTTCTTTGTGATGTGTGCATTCATCTCACAGAGTTAAACCTTTGTTTTGATTAGGCTGTTTTGAAACTCTTTTTGTAGAATCTGCAAGTGGACATTTGGAGCGCTTTGAGGCCTATGGCGGAAAAGGAAATATCTTCACATAAAAACTAGACAGAAGAATTCTGAGAAACTTCTTTGTGATGTGTGCATTTATCTCATAGAGTTGAACCTTTCTTTTGATTGAGCAGTCTGGAAACATTCTTTTTGTAGGATCTGCAAGTGGACATTTTGTGTGCTTTGCGGCCTATGGTAAAAAAGGAAATATCTTCACATAAAATCTAGACAGAAGCAATCAGAGAAACAAGTTTGTGATGTGTGCCTTAATCTCACAGAGTTAACCCTTTCTTTTGAATGAGCAGTTTTGAAACTCTGTTTTTGTAGAATATGTGAGTGGACATTTGAAGCACTTTGAGGCCTGTGGTGGAAACGGAAATATCTTCACATCAAAACTAGATGGAAGCGTTCTGAGAAACTTCTTTGTGATAGGTGCATTCATCTCCCAGAGATGAAACTTTCTTTTGATTTACCGGTTCAGAAATACTCTTTGCAGAATCTGCAATTGGGCATTTCGAGCACTTTGAGGCCTATTATGGAAAATGAAATATCTTCACATAAAAACTAGAGAGAGTAATTCCGAGTAACTTCTTTGTAATGTGCGTTTTCATCCTACAAATTCGAATCTTTCTTTTGATTGAGCAGTTTGGAAACACTCTTTTAGTAGAATTTGCAAGTGGACATGTGAAGCGATTTGTAGCTTATGGTAGAAAACGAAATATGTTCACATAAAATCTAGACAGAAGCAATCTGAGAAACTTCTTTGTGATGTGTGCATTCATCTCACAGAGTTAAACATTTCTTTTCATTGTACAGTTTTAAAACTCTCTTTTTGTGGAATCTGCAAGTGGACCTTTGGAGCACTTTAAAGCCTATGGTGGAAAAGGAAATATCTCCACATAAAAACTAGACAGAAGAAGTCTGAGAAATTTCTCTGTGATGCGTGCGTTCATATCACAGAGTTGAAACTTTCTTTCGATTGTGCAGTTTGGAAAAACACTTCATGTAGAATCTGCACGTGGTCATTTTGTGCACATTGGGAACTATGGTAGAAAAGGAAATATCTTCACATAAAATCTAGACAGAAGCAATCAGAGAAACATCATTTTGATGTGTGCATTCATCTTACAGAGCTAAACCTTTTTTTATAGAGCAGTTTTGAAACTCTGTCTCTGTAGATCCTGAAAGTGGACATTTGAAGCGCTTTGCCACCAATGGTAGAAAAGTAAATATCTTCACAGAAAATCTAGACAGAAGCAGTCTGAGAAACTTCTTTGTGATGTGTGCGTTCATCTCACAGAGTTAAATCTTCCTTTTGATTGAGCATTTTTGAAACTCTCTTTTTGTAGAATCTACAAGTGGACATTTGGAGTGCTGTGATGCCTATGGTGAAAAAGGAAATATCTTCACATAAAAACTAGACAGATGCATTCTCAGAAACTTCTTTGTGATGTTTGCATTCAACTCACAGAGGTGAACATTCCTTTACAAAGAGCAGTTTTGAAACACTCTTTTTGTTGAAATTGCAAGTGGATATGTGGAGATCTCTGAGGCCTTCGGTGGAAACGGGAATATTTTCACGTAAAAACTAGACAGAAGCATTCTCAGAAACTCCTTTGTGATGTGTGCATTCAACTCACAGAGTTGAACCTACCTTTTGATAGAGCAGCTTTGAAACACTCTTTTTGTAGAATCTGCAAGTGGATATTTGGAGCGCTTTGAGGTCTGTGTTGGAAAAGGAAATATCTTCACATAAAAACTAGACACAAGCATTCTCAGAATCTTTTCTGTGACGTGTGCATTAAACTCACAGAGTTCAACATTTCTTTTGATAGAGCAGTTTTGAAACACTCGATTTGAAGAATCTGCAAGTGGACATTTTGAGCACTTTGATGCCTATGGTGAAAAAGGAAATATCTTCACATGAAAACTAGACAGAAACATTCTCAGAAACTTCTTTGTGATATTTGCATTCAACTCACAGAGTTGAACATTCCCTTACATAGAGAAGTTTTGAAACCGTCTTTTTGTAGAATCTGCAAATGTATATGTGGAGCTCTTTGAGGCCTTCGGTGGAAACGGGAAATTCTTCACATAAAAGCAAGACAGAAGCACTCTCAGAAACTTTTTTGTGATGTGGTGCATTCAACTCACGGAGTTGAACCTTCCTTTTGATAGAGCAGTTTTGAAACACTCTATTTGTAGAATCTGCAAGTGAACAATTGGAGCACTTTGAGGCCTGTGGTGGAAAAGGAAATATCTTCATATTAAAACTAGACAGAAGCATTCTCAGAAACTTCTTTGTGATGTGTGCATTCAATTCAGAGAGTTAAACCAACCTTTTGATAGAGCAGTTTTGAAACACTCCTTTTGTAGAATCTGCAACTGTATATATGGAGCCCTTTGAGGACTATGGTAGAAAAGGAAATGTCTTCATATAAAAACTAGACAGAAGCATTCTCAGAAATTTCTTTGTGATGTGGCATTCAAGTCACAGAGTTGGACCATCCTCTTCATAGAGCAGTTTTGAAACAGTCTTTTTGTAGAATCTGCAGGTAGATATTTGGAGCGTTTGGAGGCCTATGGTGGAAAAGGAAATATCTTCACATAAAGAGTAGAAAGAAGCATTTTCAGAAACTCCTTTGCTATGTGTCCATTAAACTCAGAGTGCTGAACCTTCCTTTTGATAGAGCAGTTTTGAAACACTCTTTTTGTAGAATCTGCAAGTGGACATTTGGAGCGCTTTGAGGTATATGGTAGAAAAGGAAATATCTTCATATAATAACTAGACAGAAGCATTCTCAGAAACTAATTTATGATGTGTGCATTCAACTCAGACGGTTGAAACTTTCTTTTGATAGAGAAGTTCTGAAACGCTCTTTTTGTAGAGTCTGCAAGTGGATAATTGGAGTGCTTTGAGGCCTAAGCTGGAAACGGGAATATCTTCACATAAAAACTAGACAGAAGCATACTTAGAAACTTCTTTGTGATGTTTGCATTCAACTCAGAGAGTTGAACTTTCCTTTTGATGGAGCAGTTTTGAAATACTCTTTTTGTAGAATCTGCAATTGGATATTTGGAGCGATTTGAGTCCTATGGTAGAAAAGGAAATGTCTTCATATAAAAACTAGACACAGGTATTCTCAGAAACTGCATTGTGATGTTTGAATACAACTCACAGAGTTGAAACTTTCTTTTGATAGAGCAGTTTTGAAACACACTTTTTGTAGAATCTGCAAGTGGATATGTGGAGCTCTTTCAGGCCTATGGTAGAAGGGGAATACCTTCACATAAAAAAGAGACAGAAGCATTCTCTGAAACTTCTTTGTGATGTGTCCATTCAACTCAGAGAGTTGAGCCTTACTTTTGATAGAGTAGTTTTGAAACACTCTTTTTGTAGAATCTGCAAGGGGATATTTGGAGTGCTTTTAAGTCTGAGGTAGAAAAAAATATCTTCATATAAAATCTAGACAAAAGCATTCTCAGAAACTTCTTTGTGATGTGTGCACTCAAGTCACAGTGTTGAACATCTCTTTTGATAGAGTAGCTTTGAAACACTCTTTTTGTAGAATCTGCAAGTGGACATTTGGAGGGCTTTGAGGCCTGTGGTGGAAAAGGAAATATCTTCACATAAAAACTAGACAGAAGCACTCTCAGAATCTTCTTTGTGATGTGTGCGCTCAACTCACGGAGTTGAACCTTCCCTTTCATAGAGTAGTTTTGAAACACTCTTTTTGTAGTATCTGCAAGTGGACATTTGGAAAGCTTTGAGGCCTGTGGTGGAGAAGGAAATATCTTCACATAAAAACTAGACGGAAGCATTCTCAGAAACTTCTTAGTGATGTTTGCATTCAACTCACAGAGTTGAACATTGCTTTTGATAGAGCAGATTGGAAACACTCTTTTTGTAGAATCTGCAAGTGGATATTTGGAGCGCCTTCAGGCCTCTGGTGGAAATGGAAATATCTTCACATAAAAACTAGACAGAAGCATTCTCAGACACTTCCTTGTGATGTGTGAATTCAAGTCACAGTGTTGAACCATCCTTTTCATAGAGTAGTTTTGAAACAGTATTTTGGAGAATCTGCAAGTGGATATTTGGAACGTTTTGAGGCGTATGGTGTAAAAGGAAATATCTTCACATAAAAAGTAGACAGGAGCACTCTCAGAAACTTCTTTGTGATGTGTGCATTCAACTAACAGAGTTGAACCTTTCTTTTGATAGAGCAGTTTTGAAACACTCTTTTTGTAGTATCTGCAAGCGGATATGTGGAGCTCTTTGAGGCCTACAATGGAAACGGGAATACCTTCACATAAAAACGAGACAGAAGCATTCTCATAAACTTCTTTGGGATGAGTCCATTCAACTCAGAGAGTTGAACATTCCTTTTGATAGAGCAGTTTTGAAACACTCTTTTTGTAGAATCTGCAAGTGAATATTTGGACTGATTTGAGGCTGTCAGTGGAAATTGGAATATCTTCACATAAAAACTAGATAGAAGCATTCTCAGAAACTTCTTTGTGATGCGTGCATTCAACTCACAGCGTTGAACATTCCTTTTGATAGAGTAGTTTTGAAACCCTCTTTTTGTACAATCTGAATGTGGACATTTGGGGAGGTTTGAGGCCTGTGGTAGAAAAGGAAATATCTTCACATAAAAACAACACAGAAGCATTCTGAGGAACTTCTTTTTGATGTGTGCATTCAACTCACAGAGTTGAATCTTTCTTTGATAGAGCAGTTTTGAAACACTCTTTTCGTAGAATCTGCAAGTGGACATTTGGAGTGCTTTAAGTTCTGTGTCGGAAAACGCAATATCTTCACATAAAAACTAGACAGAAACATTCTCAGAAACTTCTTGGTGACGTGTGCATTCAACTCACAGAGTTGAACCTTTCTTTTGATAGAGCAGTTTTGGAGCACGCTTTTTGTAGAATCTGCAAGTGGACATTTGGAGTGCTTTGAGGCCTGTTGTGGAAAAGGAAATATCTTCACATAAAAACTAGGCAGAAGCATTCTCAGAAACTTCTTTGTGATGTGTCCATTCAACTCACAGAGTTGAAACTTTTATTTGATAGAGCAGTTTTTAAAAACTCTTTTTGTAGAATCTGCAAGTGGATATTTGGAGCGCCATGAGGCCTATGATGGAAAAAAAAATTATCCTCACATGAAAACCAGACAGAAGCATTCTCAGAAACTTTTTTGTGTTGTGTGTATTCAACTCACACAGTTAAACATTTCTTTTGATAGAAGAGGTTTGAAACACTCTTTTTGTAGAAAGTGGAAGTGGATATTAGGAGCGCTTTGAGGACTATATTGGAAAAGGAAACATCTTCACAAAAAACCAGACAGAAGCATTCTCAGAAACCTCTTTGTGATGTGTGCATACAACTCACAGAGTTGAACCTTTCTTTTCATTGAGCAGTTTTCAAACACTCTTTTTGTAGAAACTGCAAGTGGATATTTGGATCGTTTGAGGCCTATGGTGGAAAAGGAAATATCCTCAAAAAAAAAACCAGACAGAAGGATTCTCAGAAAATTCCTTGTGTTGTTTGTATTCAACCCACAGAGTTTAAACTTTTCTTTGATTGGGCAGTTTTGAAACACTCTTTTTCTAGAATCTGTAGGTGGATATTTGGAGTGCTTCGATGACTACGGGAGAAGAGGAAATGTCTTCATATAAAAACTAGACAGAAACATTCTCAGAAACTTCCTTGTGACGTGTGCATTAAATAACAGTGTTGAACCATTGTTTAGAAGAGCATTTTGGAAACACTTCTTTTTTTTAGAAAATGCAAGTGGATATTTGGAGCGCTTTGTGGCCTATGGTGGAAAAGAAAATATCTTCACATAAAAACTAGACAGAAGTATTCTCAGCAACTTCTTTGTGATGAGTTCATTCAATTCAGATAGTTGAACATTTCTTTCGTAGAGCAGTTTTGAAACACTCTTTTTGTAGAATCTGCAAGTGGATATTTGGAGCACACTGAAGCCTATGGTGGAAAAGGAAATATCTTCACTTAAAAGCTAGACAGAAGCATTCTCAGAAACTTCTTTGTGATGTGTGCATTCAACTCACAGAGTTGAACCTTTCTTTGATTGAGCAGTTTTGAAGCACTCTTTTTGTAGAATCTGCAATTGGATATTTGGAGCTCTTTGATGCCTATGGTGGGAAAGGAAATATCCGCATATAAAAAGTAGACAGCAGCATTCTCAGAAAGTTGTTTGTGTTGTGTGCATTCAACTCACAGAGTTGAACCTTTCCTTTGATTGAGCAGTTTTGAAAAAGTCTTTTTGTAGAATCTGCAAGTGGATATTTGGAGCAGTTTGAGGCCTATGGTGTAAAAGGAAATATCTTCACATGAAAACTAGACAGAAGCATTCTCAGAAACTTCTTTGTGATGAGTTCATTCAATTCACATAGTTGAACATTTCTTTTGATAGAGTAGTTTTGAAACACTCTTTCTGTAGAATCTACAAGTGGATATTTGGAGCACATTGAAGCCTATGATGGAAAAGGAAATATCTTCACATACAAACTAGACAGAAGCATTCTCAGAAACTTCTTTGTATTGTGTGCATTCAACTCACAAAGTTGAACTTTTCCTATGGTTGAGCAGTTTTGAAACACTCTTTCTGAAGAATCTGCAAGTGGATATTTGGAGTGCTTTGAGGTCTATGGTGGAAAAGAAAACACCTTCACAAAAAAATTAGAGCAGAAGCATTCTCAGAAACTTCTTTGTGATGTGTGCATTCAACTCACAGAGTTGAACCTTTCTTTGATAGAGCAGTTTTGAAACACTCTTTTTGTTTCTGCAATTGGATATTTGGAGCTCTTTGATGCCTATGGTGGAAAAGGAAATATCCACACATAAAAACTAGACAGCAGCATTCTCAGAAACTTGTTTGTGTTGTGTGCATTCAACTCACAGAGTTGAAACTTTCCTTTGATTGAGCAGTTTTGAAAAAGTCCTTTTGCAGAATCTGCAAGTGGATATTTGGAGCGTTTGAGGCCTATGGTGTAAAAGGAAATATCTTCACATAAAAACTAGACAGAAGCATTCTCTGAAACTTCTTTGTGATGTGTGCATTCAAGTCACAGAGTTGAACCTTTCTTTTGTAGAGCAGTTTTGAAACACTCTTTTTGTAGAATCTGCAAGTAGATATATGGAGCGCTTTGAGGCTTACGATGGAAAAGGAAATATCCGCACATAAAAAGTAGACAGCAGCATTCTCAGAAACTTGTTTGTGTTGTGTGCATTCAACTCACAGAGTTGAAACTTTCCTTTGATTGAGCAGTTTTGAAAAAGTCCTTTTGCAGCATCTGCAAGCGGATATTTGGAGCGTTTGAAGCCTATGGTGTAAAAGGAAATATCTTCACATAACAACTAGACAGAAGCATTCTCTGAAACTTCTTTGTGATGTGTGCATTCAAGTCACAGAGTTGAACCTTTCTTTTGTAGAGCAGTTTTGAAACTCTCTTTTTGTAGAATCTGCAAGTAGATATATGGAGCGCTTTGAGGCTTACGGTGGAAAAGGAAATATCTTCACATAAAAACTAGACAGAAGCATTCTCAGAAACTTCTTTGTGATAAGTGCATTCAACTCACAGAGTTGAACATTTCTGTTGATAGAGCAGTTTTAAAACACTCTTTTTCTAGAATCTGAAAGTGGATATTTGGAGTGCTTTGAGGCCTCTGGTGGAAAAGGAAATATCTTCACATAAAAACTAGACGGAAGCATTCTCAGAAATATCTTTGTGATGAGTGCACTCAACTCACGGAGTTGATCATTTCTTTGATAGAGGAGTTTTAAAACACTCTTTTTCTGGAATCTCAAAGTGGATATTTGGAGCGCTTTAAGGCCTATGGTGGAAAAGGAAACACCTTCACAAAAAAACTAGAGCAGAAGCATTCTCAGAAACTTCTTTGTGATGTGTGCATTCAACTCACAGAATTGAACCTTTCTTTGATAGAGCAGTTTTGAAACACTATTTTTGTAGAATCTGCAATTGGATATTTGGAGCGCTTTGATGCCTATGGTGGAAAAGGAAATATCCACACATAAAATCTAGACAGCAGCATTCTCAGAAACTTGTTTGTGTTGTGTGCATTCAACTCACAGAATTGAAACTTTTCTTTGATTGAGCAGTTTTAAAAAAGTCTTTTTGTAGAATCTGCAAGTGGATATTTGGAGCAGTTTGAGGCCTATGGTGTAAAAGGAAATATCTTCACATAAAAACTAGACAGAAGCATTCTCAGAAACTTCTTTGGGATGTGTGCATTCAACTCACAGAGTTGAACCTTTCTGTTGATAGAGCAGTTTTGAAACAGTCTTCTTCCAGTGTCTGCAAGTTGTTATTAAGAGTGCTTACTGGCCTATGGTGGAAAAGGAAATATCTTCACAGAAAAACTAGACAGAAGCATTCTCAGAAACTTCTTTGTGATAAGTGCATTCAACTCACAGAGATAAACCTTTCTGTTGATAGAGCAGTTTTAAAACACTCTTTTTCTGGAATCGGAGAGTGGATATTTGGAGCGCTTTGAGGCCTATAGTGGAAAAGGAAACACCTTCACAAAATAACTAGAGCAGAGGCATTCTCAGAAACTTCTTTGTGATTTGTGCATTCAACTCACAGAGTTGAACCTTTCTTTGATAGAGCAGTTTTGAAACACTCTTTTTGTAGAATCTGCAATTGGATATTTGGAGCTCTTTGATGCCTATGGTGGGAAAGGAAATATCCGCACATATAAACTAGACAGCAGCATTCTCAGAAACTTGTTTGTGTTGTGTGCATTCAACTCACAGAGTTGAACCTTTCTTTCATAGAGCAGTTTTGAAACACTCTTTTTGTAGAATCTGCAAGTAGATATTTGGAGCGCTTTGAGGCTTATGGTGCAAAAGGAAATATCTTCACATACAAACTAGACAGAAAAATTCTCAGAAACTTCTTTGTGATGAGTGCATTCAACTCACAGAGTTGGACATTTCTGTTGATAGAGCAGTTTTAAAACACTCTGTTTCTGGAATCCGAAAGTGGATATTTGGAGCGCTTTGAGGCCTATGTTGGAAAAGGAAATATCTTCACATAAAAACTAGACAGAAGCATTCTCAGAAACTTTTTTGTGATGTGTGTATTCAACTCACAGCGTTGAACCTTTCTTTTGATAGAGCAGTTTTGAAACCCTCTTTTTTTTACAATCTGCAAGTGGAAACTAGGAGCATTTTGTGGCCTATGATGGAAAAGGGCATATCTTCACATAAAAACTAGACGGAAGCATTCTCAGAAACTTCTTCGTGATGAGTATATTCAACTCACAAAGTTGAACTTTTCCTTTGATAGAGGAGTTTTGAAACACACTTTTGGTAGAATCTGCAAGTGGATTTTGGAGCGCTTGGAGGCCTGTGTTGAAAAGGAAATGTCCTCATATAAAAACTAGACAGAAGCATTCTCAGAAACTTCTTTGTGCTAGGTGCATTCAACTCACATAGTTGAACCTTTCTATTGATAGAGCAGTTTTGAAACACTCTTTTTGTAGTATCTGCGAGTGATTATTTGGAGTGCTTTGAGGCCTATGGTGGAAATGGAAATATCTTCAAATAAAAACTAGGCAGAAGCATTGTCAGAAACTTATTTGTGTTGTGTGCATTCACCTCACAGAGTTGTACTTTTCCTTTGATTTAGCAGTTTTGAAAAAGTCTTTTTGTAGTATCTGCAAGTGGATATTTGGAGCACTTTGAGGCCTATGGTGGAAAGGAAACACCTTCACAAAAAAACTGGAGCAGAAGCATTCTTAGAAACTCCTTTGTGATGTGTGCATTCAACTCACACTATTGAAACTTTCTTTAGATAGATCAGTTTTGAAACACACTTTTTGTTGAATCTGCAATTGGATATTTGCAGTGCTTTGAGGCCTATGGTTGAAAAGCAAATATCCTCACGTAAAAACTAGACAGAAGCATTCTCAGAGACTTGTTTGTGTTGTGTGAATTCAACGCACAGAGTTGAACCATTCCTTTGATTGAGCAGTTTTGGAACACTGTTTTTGTACAATCCGCCAGTGGATATTTGATGCGCTTTGATGACTATGGTGTAATAGGAACTATCTTTACATAAAAACTAGACAGATGCATTCTCAGAATCTTTCTTGTCATATGTGCATTCAACTCGCAGTGTTGAACCTTTGTTTTGAAGAGCAGTTTTGAAACACTTTTTTTTTAGGATCTGCAGGTGGATATTTGGAGTGCTTTGTGGCCTATGGAGGAAAACAAAATATCTTCACATAAAAAGTTGACAGAAACATTCTCAGAAACTACTTTGTGATGAGTGCATTCTATTCAAAGAGTTGAACGTTTCTTTTTATAGAGCAATTTTGAAACACTCTTTTCGTAGATTCTTCAAATGGATTCTGGAGCGATTTGAGATTTGAGGCCTATGTTGGAAAAGTAAATATCCTCACATAAAAACTTGACTGAAGCATTCTCAGAAACATCTTTGTGTTGTGTGCATTCAACTCACTGAGTTGAATATTTCCTTTGATTGAGTAGTTTTGAAACACTCTTTTTGTAGAATCTGTAAGTGGATATTTGGAGCGATTTGAGGCCTATGGTGGAAAAGATAATATCTTGACATAAAAACTAGACGGAAGCATTGTCAGAAACTTCTTTTTGATGTGAGCATTCACATCACAGAGTTGAAGATTCTTTTTTTGGATAGAGTAGTTTTGACGCACTCTTTCTAGAATCTGAATGTGGATATTTGGAGCGTTTTGAGGCCTATGGTGAAAAAGGCAATATCTTCACATAAAAATTAGGAGCATTCTCAGAAACTTCTTTGAGATGTGTGCATTCAACTCACAGAGCTGGTACTTTCTGTTCATAGATCAGTTTTGAAACACTCTTTCTGTAGAATCTGCAAGTGGATATTTGGTGGATTTGAGGCCTTTGGCAGAAAAGGAAATATCTTCACATAAAAACTGGACAGATGCATTCTCAGAAACTTCTTGGTGATAAGTCCATTCAACTCAGAGAGTTGAACCTTCCTTTTGATAGAGCAGTTTTGAAACACTCTTTTTTTAGAATCTGCAAGTGCATATTTGGAGCGCTTTGAGGCCTATGGTGGTAAAGGAAATATCTTCACATAAAAACTAGAGAGAAGCATTCTCCGAAACTTCTTTGTGATGAGTGAATTCAACGCACAGAGCTGAACCTTTCTTTTGATAGAGCAGTTTTGAAACACTCTTTTTGTAGGATCTGCAAGTAGATATTTGGAGTGCTCTGAGGCCTATGGTGGAAAAGGAAATATCATCATATAAAAACTAGACAGAAGCATTCTCAGAAACTTCTTTGTGTTGTGTGTATTCAACTCACAGAGTTGAAATTTTCCTTTGATTGAGCAGTTTTGAAACACTCTTTTTGTAGAATCTGCAAGTGGATATTTGGAGTGCTTTGAGGCCTATGGTGGAAAAGGAAACACCTTCACATAAAAAGTAGAGCAGAAACATTCTTAGAAACTTCTTTCTGATGTGTTCATTCATCTCACAAAGATGAACCTTTGTTTTGTTAGAGCAGTTTTGAAACACTCTTTTTGTGGAATCTGCAAGTGGATATTAAGAGCGCTTTGAGGCCTATGGTGGAAAAGGAAACACCTTCACATAAAAAGTAGAGCAGAAACATTCTTAGAAACTTCTTTCTGATGTGTTCATTCATCTCACAAAGATGAACCTTTCTTTTGTTAGAGCAGTTTTGAAACACTCTTTTTGTGGAATCTGCAAGTGGATATTTAGAGCGCTTTGAGGCCTATGGTGGGAAAGGAAATATCTTCACATAAAAACTAGACAGAAGCATTGTCAGAAACTTCTTTGTGATATGTGCATTCAACTCACAGTGTTGAACATTTTTTTGATAGAGAAGTTTTGAAATACTCTTTTTCTAGAAACTGAATGTGGATATTTGGAGTGCTTTGAGGCCTATGGTGGAAAAGGAAATATCCTCACATAAAAACTAGACAGAAGCATTCTCAGAAACTTTTTGGTAGTGTGCGCATTCAACTCACAGAGTTGAAATTTTCTGTTGATAGAGTAGTTTTGAAACACTCTTTTTCTTTTTTTTATTTTCATTTATTTATTATTATTGTACTTCAAGTTTTAGGGTACATGTGAACAATGTGCAGGTTAGTTACATATGTATACATGTGACATGCTGGTGCGCTGCAACCACTAACTCGTCATCTAACATTAGGTATATCTCCCAATGCTATCCCTCCCCCCTCCCCCCAACCCAAACAGGCCCTAGTGTGTGATGTTCCTCTTCCTGTGTCCATGTGTTCTCATTGTTCAATTACCACCTATGAGTGAGAATATGCAGTGTTTGGCTTTTTGTTCTTGCGATAGTTTACTGAGAATGATGATTTCCAATTTCATCCATGTCCCTACAAAGGACGTGAACTCATCATTGTTTATGGCTGCATAGTATTCCATGGTGTATATGTGCCACATTTCCTTCATCCAGTCTATCATTGTTGGACATTTGGGTTGGTTCCAAGTCTTTGCTATTGTGAATAATGCCGCAAAAAACATACATGTGCATGTGTCTTTATAGCAGCATGATTTATAGTTCTTTGGGTACATACACAGTAATGGGATGGCTGGGTCAAATGGTATTTCTAGTTCTAGATCACTGAGGAATCGCCACACTGACTTCCACAATGGTTGAACTAGTTTATAGTCCCACCAACAGTGTAAAAGTGTTCCTATTTCTCCACATCCTCTCCAGCACCTGTTGTTCCCTGACTTTTTAATGATTGCCATTCTCACTGGTGTGAGATGGTATCTCATTGTGGTTTTGATTTGAATTTCTCCGATGGCCAGTGATGGTGAGCATTTTTTCATGTGTTTTTTGGCTGCATAAATGTCTTCTTTTGAGAAGTGTCTATTCATGTCCTTCACCCACTTTTTGATGGGGTTGTTTGTTTTTTTCTTGTAAATTTGTTTGAGTTCATCATAGATTCTGGATATCAGCCCTTTGTCAGAAGAGTAGGTTGTGAAAATTTTCTCCCATTTTGTAGGTTGCCTGTTCACTCTGATGGTAGTTTCTTTGCTGTGCAGAAGCTCTTTAGTTTAATTAGATCCCATTTGTCAATTTTGTCTTTTGTTGCCATTGCTTTTGGTGTTTTAGACATGAAGTCCTTGCCCATGCCTATGTCCTGAATGGCAATGCCTAGGTTTCCTTCTAGGGTTTTTATGGTTTTAGGTCTAACATTTAAGTCTTTAATCCATCTTTAATTGATTTTTGTATAAGGTGTAAGGAAGGGATCCAGTTTCAGCTTTCTACATATGGCCAGCCAGTTTTCCCAGTAGCATTTATTAAATAGGGAATCCTTTCCTCATTGATTGTTTTTCTCAGGTTTGTCAAAGATCAGATAGTTGTAGATATGCGGCATTATTTCTGAGGGCTCTGTTCTGTTCCATTGATCTATATCTCTGTTTTGGTACCAGTACCATGCTGTTTTGGTTACTGTAGCCTGTAGTATTGTTTGAAGTCAGGTAGTGTGATGCTTCCAGCTTTGTTCTTTTGGCTTAGGATTGACTTGGTGGTGCGGGCTCTTTTTTGGTTCCGTATGAACTTTAAAGTACTATTTTCCAATTCTGAGGAGAAAGTGATTGGTAGCTTGATGGAGATGGCATTGAATCTGTAAATTACCTTGGGCAGTATGGCCATTTTCACGATATTGATTCTTCCTATCCATGAGCATGGAATGTTCTTCCATTTGTTTGTATCCTCTTTTATTTCCTTGAGCAGTGGTTTGTATTTCTCCTTGAAGAGGTCCTTCACATCCCTTGTAAGTTGGATTCCTAGGTATTTTATTCTCTTTGAAGCAATTGTGAATGGGAGTTCACTCATGATTTGGCTCTCTGTTTGTCTGTTGTTGATGTATAAGAATACTTGTGATTTTTGTACATTGATTTTGTATCCTGAGAATTTGCTGAAGTTGCTTATCAGCTTAAGGAGATTTTGGGCTGAGACAATGGGGTTTTCTAGATATACAAACATGTCGTCTGCAAACAGGGACAATTTGACTTCCTCTTTTCCTAATTGAATATCCTTTATTTCCTTCTCCTGTCTAATTGCCCTGGCCAGAGCTTCCAACACTATGTTGAATAGGAGTGGTGAGAGAGTGCATCCCTATCTTGTGCCAGTTTTCAAAGGGAATGCTTCCAGTTTTTGCCCATTCAGTATGATATTGGCTGTGTGTTTGTCATAGATAGCTCTTATTATTTTGAAATACGTCCCATCAATACCTAATTTATTGAGAGTTTTTAGCATGAAGTGTTGTTGAATTTTGTCAAAGGCCTTTTCTGCATCTATTGAGATAATCATGTGGTTTTGATCTTTGGTTCTGTTTATATGCTGGATTACATTTATTGATTTGCCTATATGGACCAGCCTTGCATCCCATGCATGAAGCCCACTTGATCATGGTGGATAAGCTTTTTGATGTGCTGCTGGATTCAGTTTGCCAGTATTTTATTGAGGATTTTTGCCACAATGTTCATCAACGTTATTGGTCTAAATTTCTCTTTTTTGGTTGTGTCTCTGCCGGGCTTTGGTATCAGGATGATGCTGGCCTCATAAAATGAGTTAGGGAGGATTCCGTCTTTTTCTATTGATTGGAATAGTTTCAGAACGAATGGTACCAGTTCCTCCTTGTACCTCTGGTAGAATTTGGCTGTGAATCCATCTGGTCATGGACTCTTTTTGGTTGATAAGCTATTGATTATTGCCACAATTTCAGATCTTGTTATTGGTCTATTCAGACATTCAAATTCTTTTTGGTTTAGTCTTGGGAGAGTGTATGTGTCTAGGAATTTATCCATTTCTTCTAGATTTTCTAGCTTATTTGCATAGAGGTTTTTGTAGTATTCTCTGGTGGTAGTTTGTATTTCTGTGGGATTCGTGGTTATATCCCATTTATCATTTTTTATTGCATCTATTTGATTCTTCTCTCTTTTTTTCTTTACTAGTCTTGGTCGCGGTCTATCAATTTTGTTGATCTTTTAGAAAAAACCAGCTCCTGGATTCATTAATTTTTTGAAGGTTTTTTGTGTCTCTATTTCCTTCAGTTCTGCTCTGATTTTAGTTATTTCTTGCCTTCTGCTAGCTTTTGAATGTGTTTGCTCTGGCTTCTCTAGTTCTTTTAGTTGTGATGTTAGGGTGTCAATTTTGGATCTTTCCTGCTTTCTCTTGTGGGCATTTAGTTCTATAAATTTCCCTCTACACACTGCTTTGAATGCATCCCAGAGATTCTGGTATATTGCGTCTTTGTTCTCATTGGTTTCAAGGAACATGTTTATTTCTGCCTTCATTTCGTTATGTACCCAGTAGTCATTCAGGAGCAGGTTGTTCAGTTTCCATGTAGTTGAGCGGTTTTGAGTGAGATTCTTAATCCTGAGTTCTAGTTTGATTGCACTGTGGTCTGAGAGATAGTTTGTTATAATTTCTGTTCTTTTACATTTGCTGAGGATAGCTTTACTTCCAAGTATGTGGTCAATTTTGGAATAAGTGTGGTGTGGTGGTGGAAATATGTATATTCTGTTGATTTGGGGTGGAGAGTTCTGTAGATGTCTATTAGGTCCGCTTGGTGCAGAGCTGAATTCAATTCCTGAGTATCCTTGTTGAGTTTCTGTCTCGTTGATCTGTCTAATATTGACAGAGGGGTGTTAAAATCTCCCATTATTAATGTGTGGGAGTCTAAGTCTCCTTTTAGGTCACTCAGGACTTGCTTTATGAATCTGGGTGCTCCTGTATTAGGTGCATGTATATTGAGGATAGTTAGCTCTTCTTGTTGAATTGATCCCTTTACCATTATGTAATGGCCTTCTTTGTCTCTTTTGATCTTTGTTGGTTTAAGGTCTGTTTTATCAGACTAGGATTGCAACCCCTGCCTTATTTTATTTTCCACTTGCTTGGTAGATCTTCCTCCATCCTTTTATTTTGAGCCTATGTGTGTCTCTGCACATGAGATGGGTTTCCTGAATACAGCACACTGATGGGTCTTGACTCTTTATCCAATTTGCCAGTCTGTGTCTTTTAATTGGAGCATTTAGTCCATTTACATTTAAAGTTAATATGGTTATGTTTGAATTTGAACCTGTCATTATGATATTAGCTGGTTATTTTGCTCATTAGTTGATGCAGTTTCTTCCTAGTCTCTATGGTCTTTACATTTTGGCATGATTTTGCAGTGGCTGGTACCAGCTAATCTTTTCCATGTTTAGCGCTTCATTCAGGAGCTCTTTTAAGGCAGGCCTGGTGGTGACAAAATCTCTCAGCATTTGCATTTCTGAAAAGTATTCTATTTCTCCTTCACATATAAACAAGACAGAAGCATTCTCAGAAACTTCTTTGTGATGTTTGCATTAAACTCAGAGTTGAACATAACTTTTCATAGAGCAGTATTGAAAATCTCTTTTCATAGAATCTGCAAGTGGATATTTGGACTGCTTTGAGGCCTTTGTTGGAAACGGGAACATCTTCACATGAAAACAGGACACAAGCATTCTCAGAAACTACTTTGTTATGTGTGCATTCAACTCATAGAGATAAAGATACCTTTTCATAGAGCGGTTTTGAAACTCTCTTCGTAGAATCTGCAAGTGGATATTTGGACGGCTTTGAGGCCTTCGTTGGAAATGGGAATATCCTCACATAAAAACTAGACAGAAGCATTCTCCAAAACGTCTTTGTGATGTGTGCATTTAACTCACAATGTTGAACCTTTCTTTCTTTTGATAGAGCAGTTTTGAAGCCCTCTTTTTGTAGAATCTGCACATGGACATTGGGAAAGCATGGAGGCCTATAGTGGAAAAGGAAATATCTTCACATAAAAACTAGACAGAAGCATGCTCAGAAACTTCTTTGTGATGTTTGCATTCAACTCAGAGAGTTGAACATACCTTTCTTACAGCAGTTTTAAAACACTCTTTTCTTAGAATCTGCAAGTGGATATTTGCACTGCTTTGAGGCCTCCATTGGAAACGGGAAGATCTTCACATAAAAAATAGACAGAAGTATTCTCAGAAACTTCTTTGTGATGTGGGCATTCAACACACAGAGTTGAAACTTTTTCTTGATAGAGTAGTTGGAACACTCTTTTTGTGGAATCTGCAATTTGACATTTGGAGAGCTTTGAGGCCTATGGTGGAAAACGAAATATCTACACATAAAAACTAGACAGAAGCTTTCTCAGTGACTTCTTTGTGATGTTTACATTCGACTCACAAATTTGAACATACCTTTTCATAGATCAGTTTTGAAACACTCTTTTCGTAGTATATGCAAGTGGATATTTGGACTGCTTTGAGGCCTTCGTTGTAAACGGGAATATCTTCACATAAAAACTAGACATAAGCATTCTCAGAAACTTCTTTGTGATGTGTGCATTCAACTCACAGATTTGAACCTTTCTTTTCATAGAGCAGTTTTGAAACACTCTCGTCGTAGAATCTGCAATTGAATATTTGGACTGCTTTGAGGCTTTCGTTGGAAAAGGGAATATCTTGACATAAAAAGTAGACAGAAGCATTCCAAGAAACTTCTCTGTGAAGTCTGCATTCAACTCATAGAGTTCAACATACCTTTTTATTGAGCAGTTTTGAAACACTCTTTTCATAGAATCGGCAAGTGTATATTTGGACTGCTTTGAGGCCTATGGTGGAAAAGTATATATCTACAAAGAAAATCCAGAGAGAAGCATTCTCAGAAACTTTTTTCTGATGTTTGCATTCAACTCACAGAGTTGAACTTACCTGTTCATACAGCAGTTATGAAACACTCTTCTCGTAGAATCTGCAAGTGGATATTTGGAATGCTTTGAGACCTTCTTTGGAAACAAGAATATCTTCACATAAAAACATGATGGAAGCATTCACAGTAACTTCTTTGTGATGTGCGCATTCAACTCACAGAGTTGAACCTTTCTTTTGATAGAGCAGTTTTGAAACACTCTTTTTGTAGAATCTGCAAGTGGACATTTGGAGAGCTTTGAGACCTATGGTGGAAAAGTAAATATCTACACAGAAAATCCAGACAGAAGCATTCTCAGAAACTTCTTTTTGATGTTTGCATTCAACTCACAGAGTTGAACTTACCTGTTCATAGACCAGTTATGAAACACTCTTCTCATAGAATTTGCAGGTGGATATTTGGACTGCTTTGGGGCCTTCCTTGGAAACAGGAATGTCTTTCCCTAAAAACTAGACAGAAGCATTCTCAGAACCTTCATTGTGATGTGTGCATTCAACTCACAGAACTGAACCCTTCTTTTGACAGAGCAGTTATGAAAAACTCTTTTTGTAGAATCTGCAGGTGTACATTTGGAGAGCTTTGAGGCCTATGGTGGAAAAGGAAATATCTTCACATAACAACTGGACAGAAGCATTCTCAGAAACATCTTTTTGATATTTGCATTCCACTCACAGAGTTGAACACATCTTTTCAGAGAGCAGTTTTGAAACACTTTTCGTAGAATCTGCAGGTGGATATTTGGATTGCTTTGAGGCCTTCGTTGTAAATGGAAATATCTTCACATAAAAACTAGACAGAAGCATTCTCAGAAACTACCTTGTGATGCGTGCATTCAACTCAAAGAATTCAACCTTCCTTTTCATAGAGCAGTTTTGAAACATTCTTTTTGTAGGATCTGGAAGTGGACACTTGGAGAGCTTTGAGGTCTATGGTGGAAAAGGAAATATCTTCACATAAAAACCAGACAGAAGCATTCTCAGAAACTTCTTTGTGTTGTTTGCATTCAACTCATGGAGATGAACATGCCTTTTCATAAAGCAGTTTTGAAACACTCTTTTCGTAGAATCTGCAAGTGGATATATGGACTGCTTTGAGGATTTAGATGGAAACGGGAATATATTCACATAAAAACAAGACAGAAGTATTCTCAGAAACTTCTTTAGGATGTGTGCATTAAACTCATGGATTTGAACCTTTCTTTTGATAGAGCAGTTTTGAAACTCTCTTTTTGTAGAATCTCCAAGTGGACATTTGGAGAGCTTTGAGGCCTACGGTGGAAAAGGAAATATCTTCACATAAAAACTAGACAGAAGCATTTTCAAAAACTTCTCTGTAATGTTTGCATTCAATTCAAAGGATTGAACAAACCTTTTCATAGAGCAGTTTTGAAACACTCTTTTCATAGAATATGCAAGTGGATACTTGGACGGCTTTGAGGCCTTCGTTGGAAACGGGAATATCTTCACATAAAAACTAGACAGAAGCATTCTCAGAAACTTCTTTGTGATGTGTGCATTCAACTCACAGAGTTAAACGTAAGTTTTCATAGAGCAGTTTTGAAACACTCTTTTCGTAGAATCTACAAGTGGATATTTGGACTGCTTTGAGGCCTTCGTTGGAAATGAGAATATCTTCACATAAAAGCTGGAAACAAGCATTCTCAGAAACTTCTTTGTGATGTGTGCATTCAACTCATAGAGTTAAACATACCTTTTCATAGAGCAGTTTTGAAACTCTCTTTTCGTAGAATCTGCAAGTGGATATTTGGACTGCTTTGAGGTCTTCCTTGGAAACGGGAATGTCTTCCCATAAAAACTAGACAGAATGATTCTCAGAAACTCCATTGTGATGTGTGCATTTAACTCACAGATTTGAACCTTTCTTTTGATAGATCAGTTATGAAACTCTCTTTTTGCAGAATTTGCAAGTGGACATTTGGAAAGATATGAAGCCTAAGGTGGAAAAGAAAATATGTTCACATAAAAACTAGACAGAAGCCTTCTCAGAAACTTCTTTGTAATGTGCACTTTCAACTCACACATTTGAACCTTTCTTTTGATAGAGCTGTTTTGAAATACTCTCTTTGTAGAATCTCCAAGTGGACATTTGGAGAACTTAGAGGCCTACTGTGGAAAAGGGAATATCTTCCCATAACACTAGACAGAAGCATTCTCAGAAACTTCTTAGTGATGTTTACTTTCAACTCACAGAGTTGAACATACTTTTTCATAGTGCAGTTTTGAAACACTCTTTTCGTAGAATCTGCAAGTGGATATTTGAACTGCTTTGAGGCTATTGATGGAAACGGAAATATCTTCACATAAAAACAAGACAGAAGGATTCTCAGGAACTTCTTTGTGATGTGTGCATTAAACTCACAGATTTGAACCTTTCTTTTGATAGAGCTGTTTTGAAACTCTGTTTTGTAGAATCTCAAAGTGGACATTTTGAGAGCTTTGAGGCCTATTGTGGAAAAGGAAATATCTTCACATAAAAACTAGATAGAAGCATTCTCAGAAATTTCTTAGTGATGTTTGCATTCATCTCAAAGAGTTGAACAAACCTTTTCATAGAGCAGCTTTGAAACACTCTTTTCATAGAATATGCAATTGGATATTTGGACTGCTTTGAGGCCTTCGTTGGAAATGGGAATATCTTCACATAAAACCTGGAAACAAGCATTCTCAGAAACTTCTTTGTGATGTGTGCATTCAACTCATAGAGTTAAACATAACTTTTCATAGAGCAGTTTTGAAACTCTCTGTTTGTAGGATCTGCAAGTGGATATTTGGACTGCTTTGAGGCCTTCCTTGGAAACGGGAATGTCTTTCCATAAAAACTAGACAGAAGCATTCTCAGAAACTTCATTGTGATGTGTGCATTTAACTCACAGAATTGAACCTTTGTTTTGATATAGCAGTTATGAAACACTCTTTTTGTAGAATCTGGAAGTGGTCATTTGGAAAGATATGAGACCTAGGGTGGAAAAGAAAATATCTTCACATAAAAACTAGACAGAAGCATTCTTAGAAACTTTTTTCTGATGTTTGCATTCAACTCACAGAGTTGAACATACATTTTCATAGAGCAGTTTTGAAACACTCTTTTCTTCGGATCTGCAAGTGGATATTTGCACCGCTATGAGGCCTTCGTTGGAAACGGGAATATCTTCACATAAAAACTAGACAGAAAAATTCCCAAAAACTTCTTTGTGATGTGTGCATTAAACTCACAGAGTTGAAACTTTCTTTTGATAGAGGAGTTTTGAAACACTCACTTTGCAGGATCTGCAAGTGGACATTTGGAGAGCTTTGAGGCCTATGGTGGAAAGGAAATATCTTCACATAAAAATTAAACTGAAGCATTCTCACAAACTTCTTTGTGATGTCTGCATTTAACTCACAGTGTTGAACATACTTTTTCATAGAGCGGTTTCAAATCACTCTTATCCTTGTATCTGCAAGTGTATATTTGTACTGCTTAGAGGCCTTCATTGGAAACGGGAATATCTTCTCATAAAAACTAGGCAGAAGCATTCTCAGAAACTTCTTTGTGATGTGTGAATTCAACTCACAGAGTTGAACCTTTCTTTGGTAGAGCAGTCTTGAAACAATCATTTTGTAGGATCTGCAATTGGACATTTGCAGAGTTTTGAGGCCTATGGTGGAAAGGAAATACCTTCACATAAAAACTAGACAAAAGCATTCTCAGGAACTTCTTTGTGATGTTTGCATTCAACTCACAGAGTTGAAGATACCTTTTCATAGAACAGTTTTGAAACACTCTTTTCGTAGGATCTGCAAGTGGATATTTGGACTGCTTTGAGGCCTTCGTTGTAAACGGGAATATCTTCACATAAAAACTAGAAAGAAGAATTCTCAGAAACTTCTCTGTGATGTGTGCATTCAACTTACAGAGTTGAACCTTTGTTTTTATGGAGCAGTTTTGAAACACTCATTTTGTAGGATCTGCAAGTGGACATTTGCAGAGCTTTGAGGCCTATGTTGGAAAGGAAATATCTTCATATAAAAAGTAGACAGAAGCATTCTCATAAACTTCTTTGAGAATTTTGCATTCAACTGACAGAGTTGAACATACCTTTTCATAGAGCAGTTTTGAAACACTCTTTTCGTAGAATCTCCAAGTGGATATTTGGACTGCATTGAGGCCTACGTTGTAAACTGAAATATCTTCACATAAAAACCAGACAGAAGCATTCTCAGAAACTTCTTTGGGATGTGTGCATTCAACTCACAGATTTAAACGTTCCTTTTGATAGGACAGTTTTGAAACACTCTTTTTGTAGAATCTGCAAGTGGACATTTGAAAGGCTTTGAGGCCTGTGGTGGAAAAGGAAATATCTTCACATAAAAACTAAACAGAAGCATTCGCAGAAACTTCTTTGTGATGTTTGCATTCAACTCACAGAGTTGAACATACCTTTTCATAGAGCAGTTTTGAAACACTCTGTTCTTAGAATCTGCAAGTAGATATTTGGACTGCTTTGAGGCCTTCTTTGGAAACGGGAATATCTTAACATAAAAAGCGGACAGAAGCATTCTCAGAAACTTCTTCGTGATGTGTGCTTTCATCTCACAGAGTTGAACCTTTCTTTTGATAGCATAGGTTTGAAACACTCTTTTTGTAGAAACTGCAAGTGGACCTTTGGAAATATTTGTAGCCTATGGTGGAAAAAGAAATATCTTCACAGAAAATCCAGACAGATGCATTATCAGAAACCTCTTTGTGATGTTTGCATTCAACTCACAGAGTTGAACATACCTTTTCATAGATCAGTTTTGAAAAAGTCTTTTCGTGGAATCTGCAAATGCGTATTTGGACTGCCTTGAGGCCTTAGTTGTAAATGGGAATATCTTCACATGAGAACTAGAAAGAAACATTCTCTGAACCATCTTTGTGATGTATGCATTCAACTCACAGAGTTGAACATTTCTTGTCATAGAGCAGATTTGAAACACTAATTTTGTAGAATCTGCAAGTGGATATATGGAGAGCTTTGAGGTCTATGGTGGAAAGGAAATATCTTCACATGAAAACTTGACAGAAGCGTTCTCAGAAACTACTTTGTGATGGCTGAATTCAACTCACAGAGTTGAACATACGTTTTCATACAGAAGTTTTGAAACACTCTTTTTGTAGAATCTGCAAGTGGATATTTGGACTCTGTGAGGCCTTCCTTGGAAACGGGAATATCTTCACATAAAAACCAGACAGAAGCATTCTCAGAAACTTCTTTTTGATGTTTGCATTCAACTCACAGCATTGAACATACCTTTTCATAGAGCGGTTTTGACACACTCTTTTCGCAGAATCTGCAAGTGGATATTTGGACTGCTTTGAGGGCTTTGTTGGAAATGGGAATATCCTCACTTAAAAGCTAGACAGCAGCATTCTCAGAAACTTCTTTGTGATGTGTGCATTCAACTCACAGAGTTGAACCTTTCTTTTGATAGAGCAGTTTTGAAACTCTCTTTTTGTACAATCTGCAAGTGAACATTTGGAGAGTTTTAAGGCCTACAGTGGAAAAGGAAATATCTTCACATAAAAACTAGACAGAGGGATTCTCAGAAACATCTTTGTAGTGTTTGCATTCAACTTACAGATTTGAACATACCTTTTCATAGAGCAGGTTTGAAACACTCTTTTCTTTTTTTTTTTTTTTTTTTTTTTTTTTTTTGAGACGGAGTCTCGCTCTGTCGCCCAGGTGGGACTGCGGACTGCAGTGGCGCAATCTCGGCTCACTGCAAGCTCCGCTTCCCGGGTTCACGCCATTCTCCTGCCTCACCCTCCCGAGTAGCTGGGACTACAGGCGCCCGCCACCGCGCCCGGCTAATTTTTTTTTGTATTTTTAGTAGAGACGGGGTTTCACCTTGTTAGCCAGGATGGTCTCGATCTCCTGACCTCATGATCCACCCGCCTCGGCCTCCCAAAGTGCTGGGATTACAGGAAACACTCTTTTCATAGAATCTGCAAGTGGATATTTGGACTGCTTTGAGGCCTTCGTTGGAAAAAGGAATATCTACACATAAAAACTAGACAGAGGCATTCTCAGAAACTACTTTGTGATTTGTGCATTCAACTCACAGAGTTGAAACTTTCTTTTGATAGAACAGTTTTGAAACAACTTTTTGTAGAATCTGCAAGTGGACATTTAGAAAGCTTTGAGGCCTTTGGTGGAAAGGGTAATGTCTTCACATAAAAACCAGGCAGAATAATTCTCAGAAACTTCTTTGTGATGTTTGCATTCAACTCACTGAGTTGAACATACCTTTTCATAGAGCAGTTTTGAAACACTCTTGTCATAGAATCTGCAAGTGGATATTTGGACAGCTTCACGGATTTTGTTAGAAACGGGAACATATTCACATTAAAAAACAGACAAAAGCATTCTCAGAAACTTCTTTGTGAGGTGTGCATTCAACTCACAGAGTTAAATCTTTCTTTTGATAGAGCAGTTTTGAAACAATATTTTTGTAGTATCTGCAAGTGGACATTTGGATAGCTTTGAGGCTTATGGTGGAAAAGGAAATATATTCACATAAAAACTAGACAGAAGCATTCTCAGAAACTTCTTTGGATGTTTGCATTCAACTCACAGAGTTGAACATACCTTTCATACAGCAGTTTTGAAACACTATTTTCCTAAAATGTGCAATTGGATATTTGGACTGCTTTGAGGCCTTAGTTAGAAAAGGGAATATCTTCACATAAAAACTAGACACAAGCATTCTCAGAAACTTCTTTGTGATGTGTGCATTCATCTCACAGAGTTCAACCTTTGTTTTGATAGAACAGTTTTGAAACACACTTTTTGTAGTATCTGCAAGTGGACATTTGGAAAGCTTTTAGGCCTATGGTAGAAAAAGGAAATATCTTCACTTAAAAACTGGACAGAATTAGTCTCAGAAACGTCTTTGTGATGTTTGCATTCAACTCACAGAGTTGAACATACCTTTTAATAGAGCAGTTTTGAAACACTCTTTTCGTAGAATCTGCAAGTGGATATTTGGACTGTTTTTAGGCCTTCGTTGGAAACGGGAATATACTCTCATGAAAACTAGACAGAAGTATTCTCAGAAACTTCTTTGTGATGTGTGCATTCAACGCACAGATTTGAAACTTTCTTATGATAGAGCAGATTTGAAGCACTCCTTTTGTAGAATATACAGGTGGATATTTGGACAGTTTTGAGGCCTTCATTGGAAACGGGAGTATCTTCACATAAAAACTAGACAGAAGCATTCTCAGAAACTTCTTTGTGATTTGTGCATTCAATTCACAGATTTGAACATAACTTTTTATAGAGAAATTTTGGAAAACTCTCTTCGAAGTATCTGCAAGTGGATATTTGTACTGCTTTGGGGCCTACGTGGGAAACGTGAATAACTTCACATAAAAACTAGTCAGAAGCATTCTCAGAAACTTCTTTGTTATGTGTGCATTCAACTCACAGATTTGAACCTTTTTTTGATAGAGCACCTTTGAAACATTCTTTTTGTAGAATCTCCAAGTGCACATTTGTAGAGATTTGATGTCGAAGGTGGAAAAGGAAATATTTTCACATAAAAATTAGACAGAAGCATTCTCAGAAATTTCTTTGTGATGTTCGCATTCACCTCACCGAGTTGAACATATCTTTTCATAGAGAAGTTTTGAAACCCTCTTTTCGTAGAATCTGCAAGTGTATAGTTTGACTGCTTTGAGACCTTCGTTGGAAACTGGAATATCTTCCCATAAAAACGAGACAGAAGCATTTTCAGAAACGTCTTTGTGATGTTTGCATTCAGCTCACAAAGTTGAACCTTTCTTTTGATAGAGCAGTTTTGAAACACTCTTTTTGTAGAATCTACAAGTGGACATTTGGAGAGCTTTGAAGCCTATGGTGGAAAAGGAAATACGTTCCCATAAAAAACTACACAGAAGCATTCTCAGAAACTTCTTTGTGATGTTGGCATTCAACTCGCAGGGTTTAACATACCTTTTCATAGAGAAGTTCTGAAACACACTTTTCATAGATTCGGCAAGTGGATATTTGGACTGCTTTGAGGCCTTCGTTGGAAACGGGAATATCATCCCATCAAAACTATACAGAAGCATTCTCAGAATCTTCTTTGTAATGTGTGCATTCAACCCACAGAGTTGAACATTTCTTTTCATTGTGTAGTTTTTAAAAACTTATTTTGTAGGATCTGCGAGTGGATATTTGGAGAGCTTTGAGGCCTATGGTGGAAAGGAAATATCTTCACATAAAAACTGGACAGAAGCATTCTCAGAAACTTCTTTGTGATGTTTGCATTCAACTCACAGAGATGAACATACCTTTTCATAGAGCAGTTTTTAAACACTCTTTTTTTAGAATCTGTAAGTGGATATTTGGACTGCTTTGGGCCCTTCGTTGGAAAAGTTAATGTCTCCACATAAAAACAAGACAGAAGGATTCTCAGAAACATTTTTGTCATGTGTGCATTCAACTCACACAGTTGAACATACCTTTTCCTTTTTTTTTTGTTTCTTTTATTATTATACTTTAAGTTTTAAGGTACATGTGCACATTGTGCAGGTAAGTTACATATGTATACATGTGCCATGCTGGTGCACTGCACCCACTAACTCGTCAGCTAGCATTAGGTATATCTCCCAATGCTATCCCTCCCCCCTCCCCCCACCCCACAACAGTCCCCAGAGTTTGATGTCCCCCTTCCTGTGTCCATGTGATCTCATTGTTCAATTCCCACCTATGAGTGAGAATATGCGGTGTTTGGCTTTTTGTTCTTGCGACAGTTTACTGAGAATGATGATTTCCAATTTCATCCATGTCCCTACAAAGGACATGAACTCATCATTTTTTATGGTTGCATAGTATTACATGGTGTATATGTGCCACATTTCCTTCATCCAGTCTATCATTGTTGGATATTTGGGTTGGTTCCAAGTCTTTGCTATTGTGAATAGTGCCGCAATAAACATACGTGTGCATGTGGCTTTATAGCAGCATGATTTATAGTCCTTTGGGTATATACCCAGTAATGGGATGGCTGGGTCAAATGGTATTTCTAGTTCTAGATCCCTGAGGAATCGCCACACTGACTTCCACAGTGGTTGAACTAGTTTACAGTCCCACTAACAGTGTAAAAGTGTTCCTATTTCTCCACATCCTCTCCAGCACCTGTTGTTTCCTGACTTTTTAATGATTGCCATTCTAACAGGTGTGTGATGGTATCTCATTGTGGTTTTGATTTGCATTTCTCTGATGGGCAGTGATGATGAGCATTTTTTCATGTGTTTTTTGGCTGCATAAATGTCTTCTTTTGAGAAGTGTCTGTTCATGTCCTTCGCCCACTGTTTGATGGGGTTGTTTGTTTTTTTCTTGTAAATTTGTTTGAGTTCAGTGTAGATTCTGGATATCAGCCCTTTGTCAGATGAGTAGGTTGTGAAAATTTTCTCCCATTTTGTAGGTTGCCTGTTCACTCTGATGGTAGTTTCTTTTGCTGTGCAGAAGCTCTTTAGTTTAATTAGATCCCATTTGTCAATTTTGTCTTTTGTTGCCATTGCTTTTGGTGTTTTAGACTTGAAGTCCTTGCCCATGCCTATGTCCTGAATGGTAATGCCTAGGTTTTCTTCTAGGGTTTTTATGGTTTTAGGTCTAACGTTTAAGTCCTTAATCCATCTTGAATTGATTTTTGTTTAAGGTGGAAGGAAGGGGTCCAGTTTCAGCTTTCTACATATGGCTAGCCAGTTTTCCCAGCAGCATTTATTAAATAGGGAATCCTTTCCCCATTGCTTGTTTTTCTCAGGTTTGTCAAAGATCAGATAGTTGTAGATATGCGGCATTATTTCTGAGGGCTCTTTTCTGTTCCGTTGATCTATATCTCTGTTTTGGTACCAGTACCATGCTGTTTTGGTTACTGTAGCCTTGTAGTATTGTTTGAAGTCAGGTAATGTGATGCCTCCAGCTTTGTTCTTTTGGCTTAGGATTGACTTGGCGATGCGGACTCTTTTTTGGTTCCATATGAACTTTAAAGTAGTTTTTTCCAATTCTGTGAGGAAAGGCATTAGTAGCTTGATGGGGATGGCATTGAATCTGTAAATTACCTTGGGCAGTATGGCCATTTTCACGATATTGATTCTTCCTGCCCATAAGCATGGGATGTTCTTCCATTTGTTTGTATCCTCTTTTATTTCCTTGAGCAGTGGTTTGTATTTCTCCTTGAAGAGGTCCTTCACATCCCTTGTAAGTTGGATTCCTAGGTATTTTATTCTCTTTGAAGCAATTGTGAATGGAGTGAATAGGAGTTCACTCATGATTTGGCTCTCTGTTTGTCCGTTGTTGGTGTATAAGAATGCTTGTGATATTTGTACGTTGATTTTGTATCCTGAGACTTTGCTGAAGTTGCTTATCAGCCTAAGGAGATTTTGGGCTGAGACAATGGGGTTTTCTAGATATACAATCATGTCGTCTGCAAACAGGGACAATTTGACTTCCTCTTTTCCTAATTGAATACCCTTTATTTCCTTCTCCTGTCTAATTGCCCTGGCCAGAGCTTCCAACACTATGTTGAATATGAGTGGTGAGAGAGGGCACCCCTGTCTTGTGCCAGTTTTCAAAGGGAATGCTTCCAGTTTTTGCCCATTCAGTATGATATTGGCTGTGGGTTTGTCATAGATAGCTCTTATTATTTTGAAATACGTCCCATCAATACCTAATTTATTGAGAGTTTTTAGCATGAAGTGTTGTTGAATTTTGTCAAAGGCCTTTTCTGCATCTATTGAGATAATCATGTTGTTTTTGTCTTTGGCTCTGTTTATATACTGGATTACATTTATTGATTTGCGTATATTAAACCAGCCTTGCATCCCAGGGATGAAGCCCACTTGATCATGGTGGATAAGCTTTTTGATGTGCTGCTGGATTTGGTTTGCCAGTATTTTATTGAGGATTTTTGCATCAATGTTCATCAAGGATATTGGTCTAAAATTCTCTTTTTTGGTTGTGTCTCTGCCAGGCTTTGGTATCAGAATGATGCTGGCCTCACAAAATGAGTTAGGGAGGATTCCCTGTTTTTCTATTGATTGGAATAGTTTCAGAAGGAATGGAACCAGTTCCTCCTTGTACCTCTGGTAGAATTCCGCTGTGAATGCGTCTGGTCCTGGACTCTTTTTGGTTGGTAAGCTATTGATTATTGCCACAATTTCAGCTCCTGTTATTGGTCTATTCAGAGATTCAACTTCTTCCTGGTTTAGTCTTGGGAGAGTGTATGTGTCGAGGAATTTATCCATGTCTTCTAGATTTTCTAGTTTATTTGCATAGAGGTGTTTGTAGTATTCTCTGATGGTAGTTTGTATTTCTGTGGGATCAGTGGTGATATCCCCTTTATCATTTTTTATTGCATCTATTTGATTCTTCTCTCTTTTTTTCTTTATTAGTCTTGCTAGCGGTCTATCTATTTTGTTGATCCTTTCAAAAAACCAGCTCCTGGATTCATTAATTTTTGAAGGGTTTTTTGTGTCTCTATTTCCTTCAGTTCTGCTCTGATTTTAGTTATTTCTTGCCTTCTGCTAGCTTTTGAATGTGTTTGCTCTTGCTTTTCTAGTTCTTGTAATTGTGATGTTAGGGTGTCAATTTTGGATCTTTCCTGCTTTCTCTTGTGGGCATTTAGTTCTATAAATTTCCCTCTACACACTGCTTTGAATGCGTCCCAGAGATTCGGGTATGTTGTGTCTTTGTTCTCGTTGGTTTCAAAGAACATCTTTATTTCTGCCTTCATTTCGTTATGTACCCAGTAGTCATTCAGGAGCAGGTTGTTCAGTTTCCATGTAGTTGAGCAGTTTTGAGTGAGATTCTCAATCCTGAGTTGTAGTTTGATTGCACTGTGGTCTGAGAGATAGTTTGTTATAATTTCTGTTCTTTTACATTTGCTGAGGAGAGCTTTACTTCCAAGTATGTGGTCAATTTGGAATAGGTGTGGTGTGGTGCTGAAAAAAATGTATATTCTGTTGATTTGTGGTGGAGAGTTCTGTAGATGTCTTTTAGGTCCGCTTGGTGAAGAGCTGAGTTCAATTCCTGGGTATCCTTGTTGACTTTCTGTCTCGATCTGTCTAATATTGACAGTGGGGTGTTAAAATCTCCCATTATTAATGTGCGAGAGTCTAAGTCTCTTTGTAGGTCACTCAGGACATGCTTTATGAATCTGGGTGCTCCTGTATTGGGTGCATATATATTGAGGATAGTTAGCTCTTCTTGTTGAATTGATCCCTTTACCATTATGTAATGGCTTTCTTTGTCTCTTTTGTTCTTTGTTGGTTTAAAGTCTGTTTTATCAGAGACTAGGATTGCAACCCCTACCTTTTTTTTTTCCCTTTGCTTGGTAGATCTTCCTCCAAGCTTTTATTTTGAGCCTATGTGTGTCTCTGCAGGTGAGATGGGTTCCCTGAATACAGCACACTGATGGGTCTTGACTCCTTATCCAATTTGCCAGTCCGTGTCTTTTAGTTGGAACATTTAGTCCATTTACATTTAAATTTAATATTGTTATGTGTGAATTTGATCCTGTCATGATGATGTTAGCTGGTTATTTTGCTCATTAGTTGATGCAGTTTCTTCCTAGTCTCTATGGTCTTTACATTTTGGCATGATTTTGCAGTGGCTGGTACTGGTTGTTCCTTTCCATGTTTAGCGTTTCATTCAGGAGCTCTTTTAGGGCAGGCCTGGTGGTGACAAAATCTCTCAGCATTTGCTTGTCTGTAAAGGATTTTATTTCTCCTTCACTTATGAAGCTTAGTTTGGCTGGATATGAAATTCTGGGTTGAAAATTCTTTTCTTTAAGAATGTTGAATATTGGCCCCCACTCTCTTCTGGCTTCTAGGGTTTCTGCCAAGAGATCCGCTGTTAGTCTGATGGACTTCCCTTTGAGGGTAACCCGACCTTTCTCTCTGGCTGCCCTTAACGTTTTTTCCTTCATTTCAACTTCGGTGAATCTGAGAATGATGTGTCTTGGAGTTGCTCTTCTCGAGGAGTATCTTTGTGGCGTTCTGTGTATTTCCTGAATCTGAACGTTGGCCTGCCTTGTTAGATTGGGGAAGTTCTCCTGGGTAATATCCTGCAGAGTGTTTTCCAACTTGATTCCATTCTCCCCGTCACTTTCAGGTACACCAATCCGACGTAGATTTGGTCTTTTCACATAGTCCCATATTTCTTGGAGGCTTTGCCCATTTCTTTTTATTCTTTTTTTCTCTAAACTTCCCTTCTCTCTTCATTTCATTCATTTCATCTTCCATTGCTGATACCGTTTCTTCCAGTTGATCGCATCAGCTCCTGAGGCTTCTGCATTCTTCACGTAGTTCTCGAGCCTTGGTTTTCAGCTCCATCAGCTCCTTTAAGCACTTCTCTGTATTGGTTATTCTAGTTACACATTCTTCTAAATTTTTTTCAAACTTTTCAACTTCTTTGCCTTTGGTTTGAATGTTCTCCCATAGCTCAGAGTAATTTGATCGTCTGAAGCCTTCTTCTCTCAGCTCGTCAAAGTCGTTCTCCGTCCAGCTTTGTTCCATTGCTGGTGAGGAACTGCGTTCCTCTGGAGGAGGAGAGGCGCTCTGCTTTTTAGAGTTTCCAGTTTTTCTTTTCTGTTTTTTCCCCATCATTGTGGTTTTATCTACTTTTGGTCTTTGATGATGGTGATGTACAGATGGGTTTTTGGTGTGGATGCCCTTTCTGTTTGTTAGTTTTCCTTCTAACAGACAGGACCCTCAGCAGCAGGTCTGTTGGAGTACCCTGCCGTGTGAGGTGTCAGTGTGCCCCTGCTGGGGCGTGCCTCCCAGTTAGGCTGCTCGGGGGTCAGGGGTCAGGGATCCACTTGAGGAGGCAGTCTGCCCGTTCTCAGATCTCCAGCTGCATACTGGGAGAACCACTGCTCTCTTCAAAGCAGTCAGACAGGGACATATAAGTCTGCAGAGGTTACTGCTGTCTTTTTGTTTGTCTGTGCCCTGCCCCCAGAGGTGGAGCCTACAGAGGCAGGCAGGCCTCCTTGAGCTGTGGTGGGCTCCACCCAGTTCGAGCTTCCCGGCTGCTTTGTTTACCTCAGCAAGCCTGGGCAATGGCGGGCACCCCTCCCCCAGCCTCGCTGCAGCCTTGCAGTTTGATCTCAGACTGCTGTGTTAGCAATCAGTGAGACTCCGTGGGCGTAGGACCCTCCAAACCAGCTGCGGGATATAATCTCATGGTGTGCCATTTTTTAAGTCCATTGGAAAAGCACAGTATTCGGGTGGAAGTGACCCGATTTTCCAGGTGCCGTCTGTCACCCCTTTCTTTGACTAGGAAAGGGAATTCCCTGACCCCTTGTGCTTCCCGAGTGAGGCAATGCCTCACCCTGCTTCGGCTCGTGCATCGTGCATGCACCCACTGACCTGCGCCCACTGCCTGGCATTCCCTAGTGAGATGAACCCGGTACCTCAAATGGAAATGCAGAAATCACCCGTCTTCTGTGTCACTCATGCTGGGAGCTGTAGACTGGAGCTGTTAGTATTCGGCCATCTCGGCTCTCTGTTTAGTATTTATGTGAAGATATTCCCGTTTAAAACGAAGACCTCAAAGCAGTCCAAATACCCACTTGCAGATTCTACGAAAAGAGTGTTTCAAAACTGCTCTATGAAAAGCTGTGTTCAACTCTGTGAGTTGAATGCAAGTATCAGAAAGTTTCTGAGAATGCTTCTGTCTAATGTTTATGTGAAGACATTTACTTCCACCATAGGCCTCAAATCTCTCCAAATGACCACTTGTAGCTTCTGCAAAATGAGTGTTTCAAAACTGATCTATCAAAAGAAAGGTTCAACTCTCTGAGTTGAATACACACATCACAAAGAAGTTTCTGAGAATGCTTCGGTCTAGTTTTTATGTGAAGATATTCCCGTTTACAACAAAAGCCTCAAAGCAGTCCAAATATCCACTTGCAAATTCTACGAAAACAGTGTTTCAAAACTACCCTATGAAAAGGTATCTTCATCTCTGTGAGTTGAATGCAAACAACATGAAGAAGTTTCTGAGAATGCTTCTGTGAAGTTTTTTTCTGAAGATATTTCAGTTTCCACCATAGGCCTCAAAATGCTCCCAATGTCCACTTGCAGATTCTACAAAAAGAATTTTTCAAAGCTGCTGAATCAAAAGAAAGGTTCAACTCTATGAGTTGAATGCACACATCACAAAGAAGTTTCTGAGAATGTTTCTGTCTAGTTTTTATATGAAGATATTCCCGTTTCCAATGAAGGCCTCAAAGTAGTCCAAATATCCACTTGCAGTATTAAGAAAAGAGTGTTTCAAAACTGGTCTATGAAAAGGTATGTTAAATTCTGTGAGTTGAAGACAAACATCACAAAGAAGTTTCTGAGAATGCTTCGGTCTGGGTTTTATGTGAATATATTCCCTTTTCTACCATAGGCCTCGAAGCTCTCCAAATGTCCACTTGCAGATTCTACAAAAAGAGTGTTTCAAAACTGCTCTATCATAAGAAAGTTTCAACTCTGTGAGTTGAAGGCACATATCACAAAGTACTTTCTCAGAATTCTTCTGTCTAGTTTTCATGTGAAGATATTCCCATTTTCAATGAAGGCCTCAAAGCAGTCCAAATATCCACTTGCAGATACCACGAATAGAGTGTTTCAAAACTGCTCTGTGAAAAGGTATGTTCTACTCTGTGAGTTGAATGCAAACATCACAAAAACTTTCTGAGAATGCTTCTGCCTAGATTTTATGTGAAGATATTCCCTTTTCCACCATAGGCCTCAAAGCTCTCCAAATGTCCACTTGCAGATTCTACAAAAAGAGTGTTTCAAAACAGCTGTATCAAAAGAAAGTTTCAATTCTGTGAGTTGAATGCACACATCACAAAGAAGTTTCTGATAATGCTTCTGTCTAGTTTTTATGTGAAGATATTCCCGTTTCCAACGAAGGTCTCAAAGCAATCCAACTATCCACACGCAGATTCTACGAAAAGAGTGTTTCAAAACTGCTCTATGAAAAGGTATGTTCAAATCTGTGAGTTGAATGCACACATCACAAAGAAGTTTCTGAGAATTCTTCTGTCTAATTTTTATGTGAAGATATTCCCGTTTCCAACGAAGGCCTCAAAGCAGTCCAAACATCCACTTGCAGATATAAGAAAATAGTGTTTCAAAACTGCTCTATGAAAAGGTATGTTCAAATCTGTGAGTTGAATGCAAACATCACAAAGAAGTTTCTGAGAATGCTTCTGTGTTGTTTTTCTGTGAATATATTTCCTTTCCCACCATAGGCCTCAAAGCTCTCTAAGTGTTCACTTGCAGATTCTACGAAAAGAGTGTTTCAAAAATGCTCTATGAAAAAATATATTCAACTCTGTGAGGTAAATACAAACACCACAAAGAAGTTTCTGAGAATGCTTCTGTCTATTTTTTATCTGAAGATATTTCATTTTCTACCATAGGCCTCAAAGCTCTCCAAATGTCCACTTGCAGATTCTACAAAAACGATGTTTCAAATCTGCTCTATGAAGAGAAAGGTTAAACTCTGTGAGTTGAATGCACACGTCAGAAAGAAGTTTCTGAGAATCCTTCTGTTTAGTTTGTATGTGTTGGTATTCCCGTTTTCAACGAAGGCCCCAAAGCAGTCCAAATATCCATTTGCACAATCAACGTAAAGAGTGTTTCAAAACTGCTCTATGAAAAGGGATCTTCAACTCTGGGAGTTGAATGAAAACATCACAAAGTAGTTTCTTAGTATGCTACTGTGTAGTTTTTATGTGAAGATATTTCCTTTTTCACCATAGGCCTCAAAGTTTCCAAATGTCCACTTGCAGATACTACAAAAAGAGTGCTTCTAATCTGCTCTATCAAAAGAAAGGTTCAATTCTGTTAGTTGAGTGCACACATCACAAAGAAGTTTCTGAGAATCCTTCTGTCTAGTTTTTATGTGAAGATATTCCCGTTTCCAGCGATGGCCTCAAAACAGTCCAAATATACACTTGCAGATTCATGTAAAAAAGTGTTTCAAAACCGCTCTAAGAAAAGGTATGTTCAAATATGAGAGTTGAATGCAAACACAACAAAGACGTTTCTGAGAATGCTTCTGTCTGATTTTTAGGTGAAGATATTTCCTTTCCACCATTGGCTTCTGCGCTCTCCTAATGTCCACTTGTAGATACTGCAAAGTGAGTGTTTCAAAACTGCTTTATCAAAAAAAGGTTCGACTCTGTGAGTTGAATGCACACATCCCAAAGAAGTTTCTGAGAATGCTTCTTTCTATTTTTTATGTGTAGATATTGATGTTTCCAATGAAGGCCTCAAAGCAGTCCAAATATCCACTTGCAGATTCTATGAAAAGAGTTTTCAAAAGTGCTATATGAAAAGGTATGTTCAACTCTGTGAGTTGAATGCAAACATCACAAAGAAGTTTCTGAGAATGCTTCTGTCTAGTTCATATGAGAAGATATTTTCTTTTCCATCATAGGCCTTAAAGGTCTCCAAATTTCCACTTTCAAATTCTACGAAAATAGTGTTTCAAAACTGCTCTATGAAAAGCTACGTTCAACTATGTGATTTGAATGCACACATCACAAAGAAGTTTCTGAGAATGCTTCTGTCTAGTTTTTATGTGAAGTTACTCCCGTTTCCAAATAAGGCCTCAAAGCACTCCAAATATCCACATGCACAAACTACGAAAAGAGTGCTTCAAAACTGCTCGAAGAAAACTTGTGTTCAAATCGGTGAGTTGAATGAAAACATCATCACAAAGAAGTTTCTCAGTATTCTTCTGTCTAATTTTTTTGTGAAGATATTTCCTTTCCACCATAGGCCTCAATTCTCTCCAAATGTCCACTTGTAGATCCTGGAAAATGAGTGTTTCAAAACTGCTCTATCAAAAGAAAGGTTCAACTCTGTGAGTTGAATGCACACATCACAAAGCAGTTTCTGAGAATGCCTCTGTCTAGTTTTTCTGTGAAGATATTCCCGTTTTGCCTCAAAGCAGTCTAAATATCCACTTGCAGATACTACGAAAAAAGTGTTTCAAAACTGCTCTATGAAAAGGTATGTTCAACTCTGTGAGTTGAATGCAAACATCAAAACAATTTCTGAGAATGCTTCGGTCTACTTTTTATGTGAAGATATTTCATTTTGACCACAGGCCTCAAATCTCTCCAAATGTGCACTTACAGATTCTACAAATTGAGTGTTTCAAAACTGCTCTATCAAAGGAAAGTTTCAACTCTGTGAGTTGAATGCACACATCACAAAGAAGTTTCTGAGCATGCTTCTGTGTAGTTTTTATGTGAAGATATTCCCGTTTCCAACAAAGGTCTCAAAGCAGTCCAAATATCCACTTGCAGATTCTGCTATACGAGTGTTTCAAAACTGCTCTATGAAAAGGTATGTTCAAATCTGTGAGTTGAATGCAAACACCACAAAGAAGTTTCTGAGAATGCTTCTTTCTAGTTCTTATGTGAAGATATTTCCTTTTCTGCCATAGGCCTCAAAGCTTTCTAATTATCCACATGTAGATTCTACAAAATGATTGTTTCAAAAGTGCTCTGTCAAAATAATGGTTCAACTCTGTGAGTTGAATGCACACATCACAAAGAACTTTCTGAGAATGCTTCTGTCTAGTTTTTATGTGAAGATATTGCTGTTTCCAATGAAGGCCTCAAATCAGTCCAAATATCCACTTGCAGAATCTACGTAGGGAGTGTTTCCAAAATGCTCTATGAAAAGGTATGTTCAACTCTGTGAGTTTAATGCAATCATCACAAACATGTTTCTGAGAATTCTTCTGTCTGGTTTTTATGTGAAGATATTTCCTTTTCCATCATAGGCCTCAAAGATCTCCAAATGTCCACTTGCAGTTTCCACAAAAAGAGTGTTTTAAAACTGAAGAAATTTTCAACTCTGTGAGTTGAATGCAGACATCACAAAGTAGTTTCTGAGAATCCTTGTGTCTAGTTTTTATATGAAAATATTTACTTTTCTACCATAGGTCTCAAATTTCTCCAAATATCCACTTGCAGATTCTACAAACAGAGTGTTTCAAAAATGCTCTATGAAAAGAAGGTTCAACTCTGTGAGTTGAATGGACACATCACAAAGTAGTTTCTGAGAATGCTTCTGTCTGGTTTTTATGTATAGGTATTCCTGTTTCCAACAAAGGCCTCAAATCAGACAAAATAACAACTTGCAGAATCTACGAAAAGAGTGTTTCAAAACTGCTCTAGGTAAAGGTATGTTCAACGCTGTGTGTTGAATGGAAACACCACAAAGAAATTTCTGAGAATGCTTCTGTCTAGTTTTTATGTGAAGATGTTCCCTTTTCCACCATAGGCCTCAAAGCTCTCCCAATGTCCACCTGCAGATTCTACAAAAACAGTGTTTCAAAACTGCTCTATCAAAAGAAAGGTTCAAATCTGTAAGTTGAATGCAGACATAACAAAGAAGTTGCAGAGAATGCTTCTGTCTAGTTTTTATGTGTAGATATTCCCCTTTCCAACGAAGGCCTCAAAGCAGTCCAAATATCCACTTGCAGATCCTACGAAAAGAGTGTTTCAAAACTGCTCTATGAAAACTTATGTTCAACTCTGTGAGGTGAATGCAAACAACTCAAAGAAGTTTCTGAGACTGCTTCTGTCTGGTTTTTATGTGAAGGTATTTCCTTTTCCACCGTAGGCCTCAAAGCTTTCAAAGTGTCCACTTGCAGATTTTACAAAGAGTGTCTAAAACTGCTCTATCAAAAGAAAGGTTCAACTCTTTGAGTAGAATGCACACATCACAAAGAAGTTTCTCAGAATGCCTCTGTCTAGTTTTCATGTGAAGATATTCCCATTTCCTATGAAGGCCTCTAAGCTTTCCAAATATCCACTTGCGGATTCTACCAAAAGAGTGTTTCAAAACTTCTCTATGAAAAGGTATGTTAAACTCTATTAGTTGAATGCAGACATCACAAAGAAGTTTCTGAGAATGCTTCTGTCTAGTTTTTATGTGAAGATATTTCCTTTTCCACCATAGGCCTCAAAGATCTCCAAATGTCCACGTGCAGATTCTACGAAAATAGTGTTTCAAAACTGCTCTATGGAAGGTTATTTTCAACTCTATGAGTTAATGTAAATATCACAAAGATGTTTCTGAGAATGCTTCTGTCCAGTTTTTATGTGAAGATATTTCTTTTTCCACTGTAGGCCTCAAAGCTCTCCAAATGTCCACTTGCAGATTCTACAAAAAGAATGTTTCAAACTGCTCCTTCAAAAGAGTGGTTCAGCTCTGTGAGTTGAATGGCCTCATCACAAAGAAGTTTCTGAGAATGCTTCTGTCTAGTTTTTATGTTAAGATATTTCCGTTTCCACCGAAGGCCTCAAAGCAGTCCAAATATCCCCTTGGAAATACTATGAAAAGAGTTTTTCAAAACTGTGCTGTGAAAAGGTATGTTCATCTCTGTGAGTTGAATGCAAACAACACAAAGAAGTTTCTGAAAATGCTTCTGTCTGGTTTTTATGTGAAGGTATATCATTTTCCACCATAGGCCTCAAAGCTTCCCAAATATCCACTGGCAGATTCTACGAAGAGTGTTTCAAAACTGCTCTATGAAAAGGGACGTTCAACTCTGTGAGTTGAATGCAAACATCACAGCAGAGATTCTGAAAATTCTTCTGTCCTGTTTTTATGTGAAGATATTTCCTTTTCCACCATAGGCCTCAAAGCTCTCCAAATGACCACTTGCAGATGTTACAAAAACAGTGTTTCAAAACTGCCCTATCAAAATAAAGGTTAACACAGTGAGTTGAATGCAATCATCACAAAGTAGTTGCTGAGAATGCTTCTGTCTCGTTTTTATGTGAAGATATTCTCGTTTACAATGAAGGCCTCAAAGCAGTCCAAATATACACTTGCAGATTCTACGAAAAGAGTGTTTCAAAACTGCTCTATGAAAAGGTATGTTCAACTCTCTTCGTTGAATGCAAACATCACAAAGAAGTTTCTGAGAATTCTTCTATCTAGTTTTTATGTGAGGCTATTTCCTTTTCCACCGTAGGCCTCAAAGCTCTCCAAATGTCCACTTGCAGATTGTACAAAGTAAGTGCTTCAAAACTGCTCTATCAAAAGAAAGGTTCAAATCTCTGAGTTGAATGCCCACATCAAAAAAGGTGTTTCTGAGAATGCTTCTGTCTAGTTTTTATGTGAAGATATTCCCGTTTCCAACGAAGTCCTTAAAGCAGTCCAAATATCCAATTGCAGATTAAACGAAAAGGGTGTTTCAAAACTGCTCTATGAAAAGGTATGTTCATCTCTGTGTTGGTTGAATGCAAACATCACAAAGAACGTTCTGAGAATGCTTCTGTTTCGTTTTTATGTGAAGATTTTCCCATTTCCAACGAAGGCCTCAAAGCCGTCCAAATATCCATTTGCAGATTCTACGAAAAGTGTGTTTCAAAACTTCTCTATGAAAAGGTATGTTTAATTCTGTGAGTTGAATGCAACCATCACAAAGAAGTTTCTGAGAATCCTCCTGTCTAATTTTTATGTGAAGATATTCCCTTTTCCAACCAAGGCCTTAAAGCAGTCCAAATATCCACTTGCAGATTCTACGAAAAGAATGTCTCAAATCTGCTCTATGAAAAGGTACTTTCAACTCTGTGAGTTGAATGCACACATCACAAAGAAGTTTCTGAGAATGCTTCTGTCTTGTTTTTATGTGAAGCTATTTCCTTTCACCATAGGCCTTAAAGCTCTCCAAATATCCAATGCAGATTCTAGAAAATGAGTGATTCAAAACTGCTCTATCAAAAGAAAGGTTCAACTCTGTGAGTTGAATTCACACATCACAAAGAAGTTTCTGAGAATGCTTCCATCTAGTTTTCATGTGAAGATATTCCTCTTTCCAACGAAGGCCTCAAAGCAGTCCAAATATCCATTTGCAGATCCTACAAAAAGAGTGTTTCAAAACTGCTCTATGAAAAGGTATGTTCAACTCTGTGAGTTGAATGCAAACGTCACAAACAAGTTTCTGAGAATGCTTCTGTCTAGTTTTTATGTGAAGATATTTCCTTCTCCACCACAGGCCTCGAAGCTCTGAAAATTTCCACATGCAGATTCTAAAAAAACAGTGCTTCAAAACAGCTCTATCAAAAGAAAGGTTCAGCTCCGTGAGTTGAATGCACACATCACAAAGAAGGTTCTGAGAATGCTTCTCTCTAGTTTTTATGTGAAGATATTCCCGTTTACAAAGAAAGCCTCAAAGCACTCCATATATCCACTTGCAGATTCTACAAAAAGAGTGTTTCAAAACTGCTCTATGAAAAGGTATGTTCAACTCTGTGGGTTGAATGCAAACAATATAAAGAAGTTTTGAGAATGCTTCCGTCTGGTTTTTATGTGAAGGTATTTCCTTTTCCACCACAGGCCTCAAAGCTTTCCAAATGTCCACTTGCAGATTCTACAAAAAGAGTGTTTAAAAACTGCTCTATCAAAAGAAAGATTCAACTCTTTGTGTTGAATGTGCAGATCACAAAGAAGTTTCTGAGAATGCTTCTGTCTAGTTTTTATGTGAAGATATTCCCGTTTCCAACGAAGGCCTCAAAGAAGTGCAAATATCCACTTTGCAGATTTTGCGAAAAGAGTGTTTCCAAACTGCTCTATCAAAAGAAAGGTTCAACTCTGTGAGTTGAATGCACACATCACAAAGAAATTTCCCAGAATTCCTCTGTCTAGTTCTTATGTGAAGATATTCCCGTTTAAAACGAAGGCCTCAAAGCAGTCCAAATATCCACTTGCAGATTCTACGAAACGAGTGTTTCAAAACTGCTCTATGACAAGGTATGTTCAAATCTGTGAGTTGAATGCACACATTACAAAGAACTTTCTGAGAATGCATCTCTCTAGTTTTTATGTAGAGATATTCCTGTTTCCAAAGAAAACCTAAAAGCAGTCCAAATATCCACTTGCAGATTCTACGAAAAGAGTGTTTCAAAACTGCTCTATGAAAACTTATGTTCAACTCTGTGAGGTGAATGCAAACAACTCAAAGAAGTTTCTGAGACTGCTTCTGTCTGGTTTTTATGTGAAGGTATTTCCTTTTCCACCATAGGCCTCAAAGCTTTCAAAGTGTCCACTTGCAGATTTTACAAAGAGTGTCTAAAACTGCTCTATCAAAAGAAAGGTTCAACTCTTTGAGTAGAATGCACACATCACAAAGAAGTTTCTGAGAATGCTTTTGTCTAGTTTTTATTTGAAGATATTCACATTTCCAACGAAGGCCTGAAAGCGTTCCAATTATCCATTTGCATATTCTACCAAAAGAGTTTTCCAAAACTGCTCTATGAAAAGGTATGTCCATCTCTGTGAGTTGAATGCAAACATAACAAAGTAGGTACTGAGAATGTTTCTGTCTAGTTTTCATGGGAAGATAATTCCATTTCCACCATATGCTTCAAAGGTCTCCAAATGTCCACTTGCAGATTCTATAAAAACAGTGTTTCAAAACTGCTCTATCAAAAGAAAGGCTCAACTCTCTGAGTTGAATGCCCACATCACAAAGGTGTTTCTGAGAATGCTTCTGTCTAGTTTTTATGTGAAGATATTCCCGTTTCCAATGAAGTCCTTAAAGCAGTCCTAATATTCACTTGCAGATTCTACAAAAAGAGTGTTTCAAAACTGCTCTACGAAAAGTTATTTTCAACTCTGTGAGTTGAATGCAAATATCACAAAGATGTTTTTGAGAATGCTTCTGTCCAGTTTTTATGTGAAGATATTTCCTTTTCCACTGTAGGCCTCAAAGCTCTCTTTGCTTTGCACTTGAAGATTCTACCAAAAGAATGTTTCAAACTGCTCCTTCAAAGAGTGGTTCAGCTCTGTGAGTTGAATGGCCTCATCACAAAGAAGTTTCTGAGAATGCTTCTGTCTAATTGTTATGTTAAGATATTTCTGTTTCCACTGAAGGCCTCAAAGCAGTCCAAATATCCCCTTGCAGATACTACGAAAAGAGTTTTTCAAAACTGTGCTATGAAAAGGTATTTCATCTCTGTGAGTTAAATGCAAACATCACAAAGAAGTTTCTGAAAATGCTTCTGTCTTGTTTTTATGTGAAGGTATATCATTTTCCACCATAGGCCTCAAAGCTTCCCAAATGTCCACTTGCAGATACTACCAAAACTGTGTTTCAAAACTGCTCTATCAAAAAAAAGTTCAACTCTCTGAGTTGAATGCACACATCACAAAGAAGTTTCTGAGAATTCTTCTTTCTAGATTTTATGTGAAGATATTCCCGTTTCCAACAAAGGCTTCAAATCAGTCCAAATATCCACTTGTGGATTCTACGAAAAGAGTGTTTCAAAACTGCTCTACGAAAAGGTATGTTCAACTCTGTGAGTTGAATCCAAACATCACAGAGGAGATTCTGAGAATGCTTCTGTCCAGTTTTTATGTGGAGATATTTCCTTTTCCACCATAGGCCTCAAAGCTCTCCAAATGACCACTTGCAGATGCTACAAAAACAGTGTTTCAAAACTGTTCTATCAAAATAAAGGTTAACACTGTGAGTTGAATGCAATCATCACAAAGTAGTTGCTGAGAATGCTTCTGTCTCGTTTTTATGTGAAGATATTCTCGTTTACAATGAAGGCCTCAAAGCAGTCCAAATATACACTTGCAGATTCTACGAAAAGAGTGTTTCAAAACTGCTCTATGAAAAGGTATGTTCAACTCTCTTCGTTGAATGCAAACATCACAAAGAAGTTTCTGAGAATTCTTCTATCTAGTTTTTATGTGAGGCTATTTCCTTTTCCACCGTAGGCCTCAAAGCTCTCCAAATGTCCACTTGCAGATTGTACAAAGTAAGTGCTTCAAAACTGCTCTATCAAAAGAAAGGTTCAAATCTCTGAGTTGAATGCCCACATCAAAAAAGGTGTTTCTGAGAATGCTTCTGTCTAGTTTTTATGTGAAGATATTCCCGTTTCCAACGAAGTCCTTAAAGCAGTCCAAATATCCAATTGCAGATTAAACGAAAAGGGTGTTTCAAAACTGCTCTATGAAAAGGTATGTTCATCTCTGTGTTGGTTGAATGCAAACATCACAAAGAACGTTCTGAGAATGCTTCTGTTTCGTTTTTATGTGAAGATTTTCCCATTTCCAACGAAGGCCTCAAAGCCGTCCAAATATCCATTTGCAGATTCTACGAAAAGTGTGTTTCAAAACTTCTCTATGAAAAGGTATGTTTAATTCTGTGAGTTGAATGCAACCATCACAAAGAAGTTTCTGAGAATCCTCCTGTCTAATTTTTATGTGAAGATATTCCCTTTTCCAACCAAGCCTTAAAGCAGTCCAAATATCCACTTGCAGATTCTACGAAAAGAATGTCTCAAATCTGCTCTATGAAAAGGTACTTTCAACTCTGTGAGTTGAATGCACACATCACAAAGAAGTTTCTGAGAATGCTTATGTCTAGTTTTTATGTGAAGATATTCCCATTTCCATCGAAGGCCTCAAAGCTGTCCAAATATACACTTGCAGATTCCACGAAAAGAGTGTTTCAAATCTGAGATATGACAACGTATGTTCAACTCTTTGTGTTGAATGTAAACATCACAAAGAGGTTTCTAAGAATGCTTCTGTCTAGCTTTTATGTGAAAATATTTCCTTTTCCACCTTAGGCCTCAAATCTTTCCAAATGTCCACTTGCAGATTCTACTAAAAGGGTGTTTCAAAACTTCTCTACCAAAAGAAAGGTTCAACTCTGTGAGTGGAATGCACACATCACAAATAAGTTTCTGAGAATGCTTCTGTCTCATTTTTAAGTGAAGATATTCCCGTTTCCAACGAAATCCTCAAGGCAGTCCAAATATCCACTTGCAGATTCTACAAAAAGAGTGTTTCAAAACTGCTCTGTGAAAAGATATGTTCAACTCTGTGAGTTGAGTGGAAATATCACAAAGAAGTTTCTGAGAATGCTTCTGTCTAGTTTTTATGTGAAGATATTTCCTTTTCCAATGTAGGCCTCAAAGCTTTCCAAATGTCCACTTACAGATTCTGCAAAAGAGTGTTTCAAATCTACTCTCTCAAAAGAAAACTTCAACTCTGTGAGTTGAAGGCACACATCACAAAGCAGTTTTTGAGAAAGTTTCGGTCTAGTTTTTATGTGAAGATATTCCCGTTTCCAATGAAGGCCTAAAATTAGTCCAAATATCCAATTGTAGATGCTACGAAAAGAGTATTTCAAAACTGCTTTGTGAAAAAGTATGTTCAACTCTGAGAGTTGAATGCCAACATCACAATCAAATTTCTGAGAATGCTTCTGTCCAGTTTTCATGTGAAGATATTTCCTTTTCCACCATAGGCCTCAAAGATCTCCAAATGTCCACTTGCAGATTCTACAAAAAGAGGGTTTCAAAACTGCTCTATCAAAGAAAGGTTCAACTCTGTGAGTTGAATTCACACATCAAAAAGCAGTTCCTCAGAATGCTTCTGTGTTGTTTTTATGTGAAGGTATTTCGTTTTTCACCATAGGCCTCAAAACGCTACAAATGTCCACTTGCAGTTTCCACAGAAAGAATGAATCAAAACTGCTCTATCAAAAGAACGGTTCAACTCTGTGAGTTGAATGCACACATCACAAAGAAGATTCTGAGAATGTTTCTGTCTAGTTCTTGTGAAGATATCCCTTTTCCATCGAAGGCCTCAAAGCGGTCCAATTATACACTTGCAAATTCTACAAAAAGAGTGTTTCAAAACTGGTCTATGAAAAGGAATTTTCAATTTTGTGAGTTGAGTGCACACATCACAAAGAAGTTTCTGAGAATACTTCTGTGTTGTTTTTAGGTGAAGATATTTCCTTTTTCACCACAGGCCACAAAGCGCTCCAAATATCCACTTGTAGATTGTACAAAAAAAGTGTTTCAAAACTGCTCTATCAAAAAAAAGGTTCAACTCTCTGAGTTGAGTGCATCCATCCCAAAGAAGTTTCTGAGAATGCTTCTGTCTAGTTTTTATGTGAAGATATTTCCTTTTTCACCATAGGCCTCAAAGCATTACAAATGTCCAATTGCAGATACTACAAAAAGAGTGTTTCAAAGCTGCTCTATCAATAGAAAGGTTCAACTGTGAGAGTTGAATGCACACATCACAAAGAAGTTTCTGAGAATGTTTCTGTCAAGTTTTCGTGAAGATATCCCGTTTCCAACGAAGTTCTCAAAGCGGTCCAAATATCCACTTGCAAATTCTACAAAAAGAGTGTTTCAAAATTGCTCTATGAAAAGGAATGTTCCACTCTGTGAGTTGAAAGGAAACAACACAAAGAAGTTTCTGAGAATGCTTCTGTGTAGTTTTTATGTGAAGATATTTCCTTTTTCACCATTGGCCTCAAAGCCCTCCAAAAGTCCAGTTGCAGATTCTACAAAAAGGTAGTTTCAAAACTGCTCTATCAAAGGAAAGGTTCAACTCTGTGGGTTGAATGCACACATTACAAAGAAGTTTCTGAGAATGCTTCTGTCTAGTTTTTATGTGAAGATACTTCGTTTTTCACCATAGGCTTCAAAGCGCCCCAAATGTCCACTTGCAGGTTCTACAAAAAGAGTGCTTCAAATCTGCTCTATCAAAAGAAAGTTTCAACTCTCTGAGTTGAATGCACACATCACAAAATTATCTGAGAATGCTTCTGTGAAGTATTTATGGGAAGATATTTCCTTTTTCACCATAGGCCTGAAGGAGCACCAAATGTTCACTTGCAGATTCTATATAAAGAGTGTTTCAAAACTGCTCTATCAAAAGAAAGGTTCAACTCTGAGTTGAACGAACACATCACCAAGAAATTTCTGATAATTATTCCATCCACTTTTTATGTGAAG